>NC_000017.11:9885050-10036565 GCF_000001405.40 Homo sapiens
TAGACTATCAGACTCTTCTGCCTTGGGAGGATGTGTTGGTCATCTGATTCTGTGTAATAAACCATGCCAAAACTTCATGGCTTAAAATAGTAACCATTTTATTATTATTATTATTATTATTATTATTATTATTATTACCATTATCATTATCATTTTGAGATGGAGTTTTGCTCTTGTTGCCCAGGCTGGAGTGCAATGGTGTTATCTCGGCTCACCGCAACCTCCACCTCCCAGGTTCAAGCCATTCTCCTGCCTCAGCCTCCCGAGTAGCTGGGATTGCAAGCATGAGCCACCACACACGGCCTCATTTTAATATTTTTAATGATTCAGTAGACTGGGCTGCTTGGGCTCAGGGTAGATAGTTCTTTTGATACATGTGATTTTCGGCTGGGGCTGCAAACGTCTGAAGGCCCAATTGGAGTGGCACATCCAAGATGGTTCATTCACATAACTAGACATTGACGCTAGCTGTTGGACAGGACCTCAGCTAAGACTATATAGCTCAGGGGGCCTCAGTTCTCCTCCATGTGGCCTCTCCATGTATCTTGGATATCTCACAGCATGGCGGCTGGACTCTCAGGACCTTCCTCCATCTTACTTCCTCTAAGATGGAGGAAGTAGAAACTTCCAGCCCTCTTAAGTCATAGGCATAGAACTCCCAGAATGTCACTTTTACGACATTGTATCAGTAAAAAAAGGAGTCACAAAGTCATCCTAGATTCGAGGGGAGAGAAAAACTAGGTCCACTTTTTGATGCGAAGAGCAGCCTGAGCCCACAGAAAGTAGAGGAACCATCAAGGCCATCTCTGGAGACTAGCTACCAGCATGGAAGATTTGTTCCTGAAGCCAGCTAGAGCTCTGCTCATCACCCTGTACTGCTGAGGAACGTGAGGAATCAAAGTGACTCTGCAGGGTGTTTTGTACCAGGACTGAGCCAGAAAACACACTTAGAGGGCTTGTGTGTGGGCAGAGGACTCCCACCTTCGGAATACTCCTGCCGTGTTTCTCTGCATCCCACCAGGCAGAGGCAAGAGCACAGGTGGGCAGATGTTGGGGGAACTACACTTGGTGGATCATTTTAGAGACTCCACCATGGGAATTGGCAAGAACAGGCATCAGCCCTAACAGCTTCCTTTCCTTGCTGCTTTGGAGGGTCCTTTACTCTTCCAAGAGCCTACTGCTTAGAGAGTTCCACCAGCCTCCTGCTATCAGTGGAGCTTTGGAGAGACTGCCAAACAGCGGTGACATATGAAGTAAGAGCCATGTGTTCTGTGGGACCCACTCCCTTCACACTTGCTTAATCTAGAATGAGAACCAGACCCTAGGATGTTCCTAAAACTGTGAAGCAAGCACCCGAGGAAGTGAAAAAGACACATTTGTCATGTGGAATCCTATTTTAGCCAACTTGTTTGTGAGAATCCTGGCACCCTAAAAGCCAGCTCTTCTGATATCATGTGCCCAGAGGCAAATATTACCTGTCCCGCCAACCGCATAGGGCAGCTGTGAACCTCTGACCAGATTGCATGTGTGAAAATGATTAAGTGATAACAGTATGCCCCTGTTATGGAAGCTATAGCCATGGAATATCTAGGTGCATAAGAGAAGGAAAATTCCACATTCATGGGCAGAATCCAAGCATTTGGTTGATGTCGTGATTGCCAGTGTGGAGATCCTGGTCTGGCTCCAGAAGGGACATGCTGAACAAGGCTTACATAAGGAAGAGCAGAAAAGCCTTCCCCAGTGCCACATTTCATTATCATCAAGAGATATAAGAGGAGTCAGCCTGCCACTGGGACCTTCACTCTTTAGTTGGAAATGCATCCTTTCCTTGTGAGTTCTGGCATTTTCTATAAACATGCAAGCATTGGGCCCTGCACACACATCCAGTTCCAATATATCAGACACACTGCCCAAATTCCACAGACCCTTACATCAATTAGGGACAGCCAGGACATGTAGGTGATCACAGTGACTATCTGACAAATCAGGATATGTAGGAGCCTGAGAAAGACAATGGAAACAAGCATTAACTGGAGCACCTTAGATTCCAGCCCATTTTGGGCTGAGTATTGTGGCGATGGTCATCCTGGAACATGGGAACCACATGACTGACAGCCCTGCCAGAAGCTCAGAGAGTAGGGAGGGTCAGGGGCCAAAAGGAAAGGATGCAAGTCAGGCAAAGAAAAAAAAAAAAGGACCAGGCACAGTGGCTCATGCCTGTAATCCCTGTACTTTGGGAGCCAAGGCAGGCGGGTCACCTGAGGTCAGGAGTTTGAGACCAGCCTGCCCAACATGGTGAAACCCCGTCTGTACTAAAAATACAAAAAATTAGTCGGGCGTGGTGGCGTCCGCCTGTAATTCCAGCTACTTGGGAGGCTGAGACAGGAGAATGCTTGAACTCGGGAGGCGGAGGTTGCAGTGAGCCGAGGTTGAGCCACTGCACTCTAGCCTGGCGACAAGAGTGAAACTCCATCTCTAACAAACAAACAAATAAACAAACATTAGCCAGTGCCCACTATGACCAAGTAGAGATGCAACAGTGACCTTGCCCAATATTTGTATAATTGAATGAATGACACAAGGTCTTGGGGGTTTAATCATCATTGACCCATGTGCACCTGTGAACAATCTAAGCAAACACCTAGGCTGATATAGGCGGAGCAGGGCGGGCGGGGCGCTGGATGTCAAAGTAAGAACAGATGCCATGGAAATCCAAGTTAATGTAACCAGTATGACTAATTCTAGTTAGTGTAAGCAATGCAGTTGCACGCCTCTTCTGGAGACTCCTTACGACCTGTGCAGGGCTTTGGACGTTGCCAGTAACTCTCAGACACATCTTCTCCGGAGTCAGATTTTATGCCATGTCCTCCTTTTGTTTCAGGGGTTCCTGGTGGCCTTGCAGTATGGTTTTGCCAATGGAGAGGTATGATTTCCACGTTGCCATCCTGGTTTCATGTGAGGTTGGGACTGCAACCCTACCCACCTCTGGAGGTTTCTGTGGATGGGATGATGCTACGGGAGAATGTGCAGTGACCAGCATGTGTGGGGACAAATTTGTATTGTGAGCTTCCGGTACAGAGAGCAGGAGGCAGCTTAGACAAATGGAAAAAAGGTGTCGGGATGGGTATAAGGGAGTTCAGAAGCCAGCACTGGCTCTGCTGGAGATGCAAGGAGTATTCAAATGTGACAGAGGAAACAAGCTTGAACCTCAGAGTCCAAAAATCTGAATTCACGCCTTGGTTCACCCTCAGGAGTTCTGTGAGTTAGCTGGGTCACCGCACTTTGTTTAGCCTCACTTTCCTCATCAGTAACATGGGAGCAACAATCATCCCTGCTTTGTAGTCTTGCTCTGGGTATGCTGAGCACATAGCAAATAAATGCTCAACACCTGGGAACTATGATTACATTTTTTTAAAAATTATTTTTATTTTTTTGAGACAGAGTCTCACTCTGTTGCCCAGGCTGGAATGCAGTGGCATGATACCAGCTCACTGCAACCTCTGCCTCCCAGATTCAAGCGATTCTCATGCCTCAGCCTCCTGAGTAGCTGGGATTACAGGTGCCCACCACCACACTCAGCTAATTTTTATATTTTTAGTAGAGATGGGGTTTCACCATGTTGGCCAGGCTGGTCTCAAACTCCTGATCTCAAGTAATCCACCTGCTTCAGCCTCCCAGAGTGCTGGGATTACAGGCATGAACCATGAAGCCTGGCCTATTATTGCTTTTAGTTATTCATATTATTGCATAGCCCAACCAGCTCTCTGCTTCCCTGGGAAAAGATTTGACAGTGGGAGGGGCAGAGGCCAGAACAGGTGTTTTCTCCTGTCTTTAGGAGTTGGTAGAGTTTCCAACCCCTTTTCAACCTCCTCTCGCCCTACTACAAGTGTAAATATTTATTTCTGTCTCCTCCCATTATGTACTTCCACTTACATAGAATGTACATAGCTCACATTCTATGTAAGCTTCTTGACAGCAAAACCATCTTCTGTTTTGCTCACTGCTGCTTCTTCTGTATCTTCATGCAGGGGGCTCCTCACCTATCAAGCAGGTTTCAGCTCACATGCCACCCCGGCAGAGTCCTTTCCTGAACACCCTGTCTTAAGTTTTTGTTTCTTTACCGTATTGTCCTGCTTAGTACTCTCACAGTGTCATCACCACCAGACATGTTTATGTATCTTTGTTTCTCCTTGTCTCCCCCAGTTAAAAGGTAAATTTCCCAAGGGTGGCACAGAGTAGCTACTCAATTAATATTTGCTAAATGGACACATGGCTAAATGACTCCAAGACAGTAACCTCTCACTTGTCTCACCCGGCAGGTGAAGGCTGAGCTGCGGAAATACTGGGTCCGCTTCTTGCTAGCCCGCCACTCAGGCTGCAGAGCCTGTGTCCTGGGGAAGGACTTCCGGTTCCTAGGAAAATGTCCCAAGAAGCTCTCGGAAGGAGATGGCGCTGAGAAGCTTCGGAAGCTGCAGCCCTCACTTAACAGTGGGCGGCTCCTACATCTAGCCATGCGAGGTCTTGGGGAGCTGGGCGCCCAGCCCCAACAGGACCATGCACGCTGGCCCCGGGGCAGCAGCCTGTCCGAGTGCAGTGAGGGGGATGTCACCATGGCCAACACCATGGAGGAGATTCTGGAAGAGAGTGAGATCTAGGGTGGAGTTCCACCACCCTGGCTCTGCTCCCAGGGACTCTTGAGGGGGCCCAGGAAGAGGAAGCAAAGCAGGACACACGTTGCTGGGCACGGAATCATTCTCGTTCCATTCACCATGCCACTTTGATATGAAAGCTATCACAAGGTTCTTCAAGCTCTGTATGAAAGAGGCTGTGTGTCATGCTCACAGCCTCTGCCTGCTCTTCTCATCCTAATAACCCCCACCAGTGTGTTTTCCACAATGCCCACCAGACCCTAGGGCCTGGCTCTAAATTCAAGCCAATGAAGTCCCACCATGAAGAGAGGTCTCCTGTTATAGAGAAGCCAGCCAATATCTCTTCCTTTATCCCTTGGGGTGCATGCTTTCCATCTGAGGTTGGGTTTAGGGTGCGTGAAAACCTCCTAGGAAGCTTTTAAAATGCAGAATCCTAGACTTGTGGCTAAGATTCTAAGACAGTGAGTCTGGGACCATGGCCAGGAATTGGAGCTGTTTAATAAGCATCCCAGGTAATTCTGCTGCAAGCCCACCCTTGGAGAACACTGGGCAGGGTGAGAGGGAGCTAGAAGCGCCCCCATGTGGCCATGGCAGGATGCTGCAAGAGACAGTCTGCTCTCCCAGGTCAGCTGGGGTGTGCCTGCCCTCCTTGGAGAGTATGTAACTCCACCCACCAGAGTGCCACTCCTCTCTGCTCTTCCTCTCCTATCAAGTCTTGCCTCTCTCTCTCTTTGCCTCAGTTCTCTGTCCCTGCACAGCAGGAGTTCTGCTTGATCCTCCCTTTGAGGATTGGCCCCAGTGCCTGGGGACCCTCTGAATGTCGTCTTTGGTCTGTTCCTCTCCTTTCTGGCTCTATCTACCTTTCTGAGTTTGGCTTCTACCAGCCTGATTTACACTACCATTCTCTTGGGGCAAGGAATGTCCCCACCATTTTTGGTTTGCCATTGATGCATTGATTGTCACACCTGTTGTCCCAGGAAGTTGACCTATAACTCTCCATGGCCAGAGTCCCTGCTGATCAGAATTCAATTTGCCCAGTGGGAATAAATACTGAAAGCAGGAGGGCCCAGGTAAAGCAATAGGAGTTTGGCTGGATCTGGACATGCCCAGGGTGGCTCTGAGAGATCCAAGACTTTGCATCCACCAGCCTGTGGGATCTTTCCTGCCTACTGTGACCCATGGAGGCTGAGGAGGGCCCAGGCAGTTGGGGTCAGGCTCAATGACTGAAAGTATAGGGCAAGAGGCTGTAGGAAGATCAAGGGATGGACATCCTTTGGAAACAGTGTGTTAATGCACAGGAGTGTCACTTTCATGGTATGTAAAATGCATGTGTACGTGGGTGGGGTATGTTGCTATGGGACTAAATACCACCTTGTCTTCGGGGGAGTCAGTTTGATACTCCTCAAGCAGGGCTGCCATATTTAGCAAACAAAAACAAGGTACTCAATTAAATTTGAATTTCAGACAAATAGTCTTCTTGTATAAGTATATCCCATGGGCATATTTAATCTGAGATTGGAATTCAATCATGCATCTTGTCTTTTACTGGCATCTCTGTTTTCAAGGATACTTTGCCACAGGGCTGGGACTAGGGTGAAATAATCAAGGCACTCATCTCTAAAAAGCTCAAAGTAAATGATCAAAATAAATCATATTTTAATGCAATATTCTAAAAAAACAAATTAACAAACTACAGCCCATGAGCCATTTATAGAAATGAAATTTGATTGGAGCCAGGGGCAGGATAAGGGTGAGGCAGGAGAGGCCAGCTCTTGCAAGTGCAGGCTCTGGTCCTGACTTTCAAATGTTGTCTATGAGGGACTTTTAATGTGAATTTTTATTTTTAGACAATTGCATTAAAATGTTATTTATATTGACTATGGGGACTTTTGGGGCCCCCTTAAATTTTGCACTTGAAATGGGATCCCCACTTGTGTCACCCCATAGTCCAGCCCTGGTTTTAGGATGGGGATGGAGGCAAAGGCATCAGGCAAGTAATGAAGCAAAGGTTTATTTTTTGGTGTCCAGATTATCCATAGCTCAGTCATGAAAATCTATGTCTTTCTATTTTTCTCCTTTCTGCAAATGTCCCTGCCTCGGCTCATCAGCCAATTAGCTCCTAGAAAGCTGGGGTCATCTCGTATTCCCAGCAAGTACCCAGCACAGTGCCGGTTCAGAGCAGGTGCTCCACACACATTCCTGGAATGAGACAGCACAGAAATGGCTCTCGGGAGCCTCGGATGCTGCTGGGAGTAAGTGATCCAGGACCTTACCGCTAAGAGGAGAAACTTTTTTTCAAAGCATTTATAAATACTCCCTCCACCCCTCACTCCACAAATGGGGTGATCAACACTTACTGCTTGCTCTTGTTCTGCTAATGATTAAAACAAGTTTATTTAATTTCATTTGCATTTTGTTGATTCTTTTACATTTGTCTCTCACTGGAGCTGAAGGTCTCTCCCACCCATGAAGAATGCGATGCACTATTCCTGGCCAGAAGTGAGGAAAAGGGCTGTGGCGTTTAGCCAGGGACCTGGGTGCTCCAATATCTTAAATTTGGTCTTAGGGACCAGAGGAGTGGGCAGAGGGGCCGGGACCAGAAGCAGAGGTCAGAGGTCAAAAGAATGGAAGGAGAGTGTCTCCCCTTTTATAGACCACCCCATTGGTCACTCAGCTTGCCTGTTGCTTTGAAGATCTAGTCTAGTGGTTCTCAATCCTCGCATTACAATCCCTTGGGAAGCTTTTTATTTATTTTTATTTATATTTATTTATTTGAGACCCAGTCTCACTCTGTTTCCCAGGCTGGAGTGCAGTTGCATGATCTCAACTCACTGCAACCTCCACCTCCCGGGTTCAAGCAATTCTCATGCTTTAGCCTCCCGAGGAGCTGGGTCTACAGGCGTGAGCCACCAGGCCCAGCTAATTTTTTTTGTATTTTTAGTAGAGACGGGGTTTCACCATGTTGGCCAGGCTGGTCTTGAACTCCTGACCTCAGGTGATTGCCTGCCTCGGCCTCCCAGAGTGCTGGGATTACAAGTGTGAGCCACCACGCCCAGCCCCCTGGGAAGCTTTTTTAAAAGACCAGTGACAGGGTCTGACCCCAGAGGTTCTGATTGAAATGGTCTTACTAGACCTGGGCATTGGGATTTTTATAAGTTCCTGAGTGATCTTTTTTAAATTGTGGCAAAATATATATAACATAAAATTAACCATTGTAGCCATCTTTTTTTCTTTTTGTTTTTTGAGACAGAGTCTTGCTCTGTCACCAGGCTGGAGTGCAGTGCTGTGATCTCGGCTCACCGCAACCTCCACCTCCCAGGTTCAGGCAATTCTTCTGCCTCTGCCTCCCGAGTAGCTGGGACTACAGGCGCCTGCCACCACTCCTGGCTAATTTTTGTATTTTTAGTAGAGATGGGGTTTCACCATATTGGTCAGGCTGGTCTCAAACTCCTGACCCCAGGTGATCCACGCGCCTTGGCCTCCCAAAGTGCTGGGATTACAGGCGTGAGCCACCGCGCCCGGCCAGCCATTATTAAGTGTATGGTTCAGTGGCATGAAGTACCTTCTTACTGTTGTGCAGCCGTCACCACCATCCATCTCCAGGACTCTTTCATCTTCCTGAACTGAAACTCTACATCCATTAAACAATAGCCTCCCATTCTTTCCTCCCCAAGCCCCTGACAACTTCTACTTCCTGTCTCTGTGAATTTGCTTATTCTGGATACATCAGCTATAAGTGGAACTGTATAGTATGTATCCTTTTGTGATCAGCTTATTTCACTCCCATAGTGCCCTCAAGGATCATCCACCTTGTAGTGTGTGTCAGAAATTCCTTTTTTAAAATGCTGAATAATATTCCATGCATACCACATTTTGTTTATCTGTTCATCCATTGATGGACACTTGGCTTGTTTCCATGTTTGGCTATTGTGAATAATGCTGCTATTGGTAGGGATGTATAAACATCTGGTTTCTGTTTTAAAAATTTGAGTATACCTACAAGTGGAACTGCTGAATCATATGGTGATTCTATATTTTCCCCAACAGCTGCGCCATTTTATATTCCCACCAGCAATGCATGAGGATTCCAAATGCTCCATGGCCTTTGCCAACATTTATTTTCTATTTTTTTATGATAACCATTCCTAATGGCTGTGAAATGGTATCTCATTGTGGTTTTGATTTGCGTTTCCGGAATGACTAATGATGTCAAGCATCTTTTTATGTGCCTGCTGATTAGTCCTTTGTGAGTCTTCTTTAGAAAAATATCTATTCAATTCTTGGCCCATTTTTCAATTGGATTGTTTGTTTTTTGTTGTTGAGTTGCAGGAATTCTTTATGCATTCTGAATATGGATACCTTATCTATTATTTGCAAATATTTTCTCTCATTCTGTAGATTGTCTTTTTGCCTCTTGATAGTGCCCTTTTATGTAGAAAAGTTTTAAATTTTGTTGAAGTCCAATGTGTCTATTTGTTTTTCTTTTGCTGCCCGTGCTTTGGCATCAACGCCACCTGTGTGACTTTAATATGGGACCAAGGTTGAGAACATTGGAACTGAGGCAGAGGGGAAGGAGGTGAACCCTCCTCTGGAAACTGACAATACCTTGCCGAAGTCCAAATAAACTGAGTCTTTCTCCCATGTAGCATTTAGAGCTCAAATTCTTCCACAAGCACAGACTCAACTGATTCTCACAACTCTTAAGTGACAGGCAATGTAGGTGTGGCTGGCCCAGTTTTATTTTTTAAGGAGTGGTCATCCAGCTGGAGCCTAAGAGCCTGAGACACAGACATTTTTGGGCTTGTCTGATGAGTTTATATAACCATTAAGGGGCAGAAATGGGAGTGAAGTGGACAGCAGTACGGCGGCTGACCCCACTTGGCTCCATGGTCAGAGTCTGAGCCTGGTGAGAGAAGAGAAGCTTCAGACAAAAGCTAGGAGAGCTGTTTCCAGGAGGCAATGACAAAAGCTGTTTCCGTGACACATGCTACTTCCCATGGGGCTGTTCTGATAGACTCTAACCTAGAAGGCTCCTCAGCAGATCAGCACACAGCTTGGGTACATTAGGAGCACTGTGGCCTCGCCTGTGATTAGGAACGTAGTACTTGAGGGCAGCAATGGCACCTGGCACTAAGGGATCTATGGGTGAATCTGTGTGGGACACCTCCTGGAGATGCTAAAAATGCCCAAGAGACACTGCACAAGGGGCTGGGATCTTATGTGGGCAGGTGGCAACAGAAGCTCAGGCAGTTTGGATTATTGCTCTTAATGAGACCCATTTCTGCCCTTGAATTTACATGTACTTGAGGAGTCAGGGATCTAGAGACAGGAAATGACTTCCCCAAGGTCTCTATAGTAGACATCTATTTTTAGAATCTGCCCTTCTTATAGTACCCCAATTTTCCTCTTGGAAAAACCACTCATCTCCTACTGTCAGTCCACGGAACTTGAGTTGTCCTGACTCTATCCTCAGTTCAAGGATGGGCATAAAAATCTGCTGGCCAAGCAGAGCAGTACATCCTTCTGGCATCAGATATTGAGTCAGGCATGGGCATATAACTAACCAGAGACAGTGAGATGCAATCCTGACACTTTGGCTGGGACTCTTAAGAGAAAGCATTTTCTCTTTTCTGCTGAAATTGGAACCATGAAGAAGGCAGCCTGGATCTGCTGGTGACCGTCCTGCCAGCATGGGAAGAACCTGTCTGAGAATGGTGGTGACAGCAGAAACCAGAACCAGGAGAGGGAGAAATGAACTCTGGGACATTGTTGGAGCCCCTGGATTAAGCCATACCTGAAGCTAGCCCTACTCCTAGAATTTCAGCTATAAGAGCCAAGCAATTTCTATTTGTGCCACAATAATTTGTGCCAGGTCATCTACCTTTTGCATCTGGAAGAGTCTTGATGACATAGCTCATCACTATCTCCACCTCCTCTTCCCTGTGGCCAAGTTGAACTTCATGCTTTATTTTCCACAAAGTGTCATACAGCTGTAGAGAATCTCAGCCCAAGTGGTCCTTCCACCCTAAGCTAAAAAAAGAGGCACTAATTAGGTTTTCACTCTTTGGCTCTCCCATTGAACCACAAACCAGCAAGGACCTAATTATGCAGTGTCTGTCCTTTTAGACTCAAGTGACAATGATAGACTGACCTCAGAGAGAAGTGAAAAGCCCCCAGCCTCATCCTCGAAGCAACCAGATTCATTCATGGAGTGTGGTGGAAAGAGCATTGAGCCCTTTGGTTATATTCCTAGAACACTCTGGACTGGACCCACAGAGTCTTTTATCTCCCACTGAACTGGCTTCTATATAGCCCACTATGTCTACATGGGAGAATGCCTTGGGTAGATGATTCTAGTAATAATCCTTCTCCTCCCAGAACCTCTGGACTCATGCCTTGTAGCCTCCTTCCCCTTTCCATCTCTGACATTGTGCAATCCTAGAGTTCTCTATCCTGCTGTGTCCAGGTCAAAACTATTGGAGAAATCTGGTGTAATCAAAGGGACTCCAGTTTAAGTACCAACTCCTACTCACACTTCCTGCCCTCAGTATCCTCATCTGTATTGTGCAGATAATAACATCTCCATCAATGAAATAATGATGGCAGAGTCTAGCATGGTGCACGGTTCATAAGTGTTTATTCTCACGTTTGCTCTCCACACAGAGGAGTGCTCTTTGGCAGTGGTGATTGTGTCATCTCTGTGGCTAAAGTGGGGTCTGGAGGCATCACCACAATACCAGCAACTAGAGACTCCTCAGCCTCAAGAGGTTGCAGACAGGTCAGTCAAGAATCCAGGGTATCCATGCATTTTTCTGACCTCATCTTGGAACTTGAGGCTGGAGAATAAATGGGCCTTCAAAGCAACAAATCCAGGGATCTTGGAGAATGCACTGATGGAGTTCCTGGGTATCCCAGGCCCTGGAGCTTTGAGGAGGCAGTTGGGGGCCGGTGGGTAGCCCTTGCCTGACCTCTGCTCATCAGCTGGCTGCCCTTGGGCAAGCTGCTTCCTGTCATTGGGACTCCTTTTCCTTGTCTCTAAAACAAGGGGCTTTAGGGCCATCTATGGCTCTGCCTTCACCTCATACTATATTGAAGCTGAATTCATCATTGTTCCCTGAAACCCCAAAGACTCTCTGTATTTCTCATCTCCATAGATGGCATTGCTATTCACCCACTGCCCAAGCTACAGGCCTGGCTGCCATTCCTGCCCTCTCTCCTCCTGCCCCCTCAGCCAGCCAGGTGGATGCTACCTCCTAAATGTGTCCTCACTGGATCTGGTCCTCTCCATCCCATTGCCTTTCCCCTGGCCCAGGCCATCTGAGTGGCTGCAAAAGCTTATTCATCGGGCTCCCTGACTCCAGGGAGCCCCCAGTTGCTCCTCTCTGACTTATTTTAGCCTGCTGGGGACTTCTCTTACAAACATAAACCCCTCCTACTTCCAACTCCACAGTGGCACCGCTGTCCCCATGGTGAGCCCCCAAGTGCTTACCACAGGCTGCAGGGAGGGCTTTGCGTGGTCCAGCCCCCGCCTACCTTTTAGATTCAGCTCACACTTTGCTCTCCCTCCTCCTTCTACCCTCCAGCCACCCCGACCTTCTCCTGGAACTCGAGATGGTCATTCATGCCTCAGCGGCTCTGTGTTGGCCGCCTTCTGTTTGAGACTTCCCCACCCCGACCCCGTCCCCCGCCTCGTGTGCAGTGGTTCTGAATTTAAATCTCCCTTCGTCAGGGATGTGGTCCCTGATCCCCCCTGACAAGTCAGCCCCTTCCACTGTGTCCTCCCCTGGTGCTCTGCACGTTTCCATGGTAACCTGGGCCACTGGTCATGGCTCCTTCCAGGTTCATTGTCCCCTCTGGACCATGAGCTCCATGACAGCAGGACCGCATTAGACTCATTCCGCACCAAAGCAGCCCAGCCTAGGGCTGCCATCGCAACACAGCCTTGTCTTTGAGGTGTGACTGATAGAAATCATTTCCTTTTCCAGTTGAAGGATGACCAGCAGCCACGTGCCCAGCTCAGCTTGCGTTTATTGGAAACTGCTTACCCAGCACTCCACAAAGGAGCTTACAGCGGGGTGACACTTAGGACTCCTATGGCCTAATCCTGGGATTAGCACAGGGCCATGGGCTGGTGGACAGAGGGAGGGGTGGGACCGGGCATGATGGGAGGGAATGCTGAAGACCCAGGAAGAAGGAACCAGTGGGTCACTACAGATGCTTCAGTTTGGCAGGGAGCTGTGCTGTGGGCTTGTGTGCAGGCCTTTCTCTTGGCCCTGGGGTGGATGTGTGTGTGTGTGTGTGCGCGCGCGTGTGTGTGCATGTGTGTGTGTGTGCACAGGCGCTCACGGGTGTCATGTGAGTGGTAGGTGGAGGGAGGACAGCTGAACAGTTGGCATCAGGCGTTCTTCATCTTTTCCTTCACTTTTTGAGGCTCAAACTGGATCAGTCGCAGAATTTCCTTATTGGCCAGTGTCCCCTCAATGAATTCTTTCTCTGTAAGTTTATCTGTGCATTGGGAAAAAATATATACGTACATAAAACAGTCAGGATTGATAGCCAAGTGAGCTGCGATGAGGCTGACATCTAGCCAGTATCCCCAGTGTGAATGTATCTATTATAAGAATATTGAATACTCAGTGGCCCTGAGTATTCAATATTCCCCCACCCCAGTCCAGATACCCACCTCCTTTCCCATGACCCTTGGAGCTCCCTGCAGACCAGCAAAGAGCGGTGAATGACTGGCACTGGGGGGGCCCCCAAGATGCCAGTCTTGTGCTATGTGTCTCTTCCGATTGGCCGGTGCCCCTGCCTTGCTGGTTATTAAATACTTCAATAATTAATAACTATTAATTGTTATTCTATTTTCTATAGTAGCTCAAGTTTCAAGGATCAAGTTCAGGAGGAGCTTCTGGGGGTCTGAGCATAGCAAAACAATCTGGATGTCAGGCCCAGAGTCTCAGCTGAGAAGCAGGGAACAACATCCCTCCAGAAATAGGAGTGAGAAGTGAAGGGCCCAATGAGATCATGCCAGGGGGAGTGTGGCTTGCAGAGAGGTCTCTTTGGCACCTGCAGCACACAGGCAGCCCCATGATTCCTGGCTGACAACTCCGCCATGATCCCTTCCTATGCATCCATCCCTGCGTCCCCCAGTCTCATCTGCCTCCTTATTTGGGATCAGGACTGAGAGACAGCCTTGTTGCGCCCACACCTGGTTTTCCGGTGTTTTTAATCAGGTGGCTAACTGTATTCAGATCAGTCCAGTTAAATGCATGGTCCTGAGCCCAGATGCCACTGTGCTTGGAGCCAAGGCCACCACAGGGAGCGGAGGCGGGGTGTACAATAGAAGAGAGTGAGATGAAGTCCCTCCCTGGGAAACTGTTGACCTGGCGGGGAAGGCAGTCACACGCAGAAATACCTCTAGCATGAGACAGATGCTCCTTTCTGTTGTATGTTCACAGTGCCTAGCACAGAGTCGGTGCTCAACAAAGCTTTGCTGAACTGAATGTGATTTCTGACTTATGCTCTGGGCCTTTTGGATACCTTTAATCCCTTCTGGGTTAGGATCCAGGATGGCTTCCTCCGCAAGTCTGGGTGGTAAAATTTGGGTTTTAACATCCCAGCCACCCCACAGAGAGCTCACAGAGAGCTTGAAACTCCCACCATCAAAGCCTGACTCTGCCCTGAGGCATTGTCTCCAGATGGGCCGCGTGGAAACACGTACAACACATCACGAACAGGAGTAACACGTCGACCTCGGGGCTTCTGACGTCATCCCCTCCCGGGATGTTCACCAGGGAGGTTTTCAGATGAGCAAAAAGCAGAACACAGGGCTCGACACATGAACGGACCCAGAGGGAGGTCGCGAAGCCAGTTAAGGAGCCAGTGGGGCAAAGTGCCAAAAGAAGGCATCTTGGTAGCCAGTGTCTGTGCAAGGAGGAGAGAGTGCTCAAAGGTGAGGGGCCAATCCGGGCCGATGAGGGAAAGGTGGGTAAAGTACCAAGGCGCGAATTTAAGGAGGCGCTCACTTTCAGGTCCTGTGAGTGCATTGTTGACCCCTGAGAACGAGCGCCTCCTTAAATTCTGTGTCCTATGTTCCTCCTACCCCAATGACCTTCATGCTTCTCTTATTTCATCATTTGTTGGCAGATTAGGAGGAGCAGGGTCATCTCTCTCTGCCCTTATTTAGCATCCTGCTCAGCTTTTTCTTCTTGAACCTTGGCAGAAGACTGCCTCCAGAGGTCACCAAAGGGGTTAATACAGGACCCTTGGATGTGTTTGGGCCATGCTGTGTTTTATCAGTTGAGACACACTGGATTTTTAAAGTCTTCATGGCTGGCTTCTCTTAAAAAAAAATCAGATGATGTCTCAACCACGGGTTCCATAGCCCCACATGGAATATGCTGGAAGCCATCAGACCAGAGGTGCACCCTCTGCTGTTTGCCAATCCCCACTGCTTGTAGATGACTGTCCACATAACTCGTTTTCATCATTCCTGCCCCTCCAGCCATATGTGTTTGCAGCCCCAGCCTAATACCAGCTCCTTTACCGCATCCTTGTGCTGGCCGTAAGCATCACAGACACACAGCCCCAGCAGCCGAGTGCTGGAGTCCATCACTGCCTACAGTGCAGGATCACACTTCCTGGGGGCTGCTTCCAGCCACTGACTGACAGGGCAGGGGCACCAAGACTGACAGGGGCACTGAGGACACCCCATCGACTCTGTCAACACTTCCTCAGACTGCACTGCAGTCTCGGGCATTACTTACCTAATCTTCCTTTCTTTCCTAACCTTCCTTTCTTTCCTAACCTTCCTTTCTTTCCCTCTCTCCCTGCCAGGGGTCAGATCTGCTTGGCAGTCTGATAGCTTTCCCAGCCTCCTCTCGATCCCAGCCTGTTTTCCTTCTTCAGCCTTTCCTCCCATAAATCTCTTGCAATCTCATTTAAATCTAATCCTATCTTGGTGGTGTTTCTCAGAGGACCCAAACCAACTTCCCAAAGTAAAACCATAGAAATACAGATCCCACTGACTTGGGACTCGATATTAATTCAAAGCTAGGGTGAGCTGAAGTTTGCTCTTGTTCTAATTGCACAGAAAACAGTTTTGGCTCCTGCTCACCCTTAAGGCCATTCCCCTGTCCAACCCTTCAAACAGCTCTGAAAATGCACAATGGAATGAGGTGTCCCCCATCCTGCCTGGACACTGTGACTCAGAAGAATAAATCTTGTTGGGATTTCCAGGAAACAGCCCATGGTTGAAAAATCAAAGGCAATGAAGGAAAAGGAATTCACCATCATCATTCTTTCCAAAGTACTTCCAGATCTTCTCGGCTCGCTTTTCCGGCGTGTTTTCATCGTCTGGAAGGAGCTTCACGTCCTCGGGAGTGATCATTTTGAAAATAGCCTGTACCAAACAGAAAGAAAGAACTCGTTAGGAGGAACTTTAAGGGGCTGGCAACCCTGGAAAATCCACATCTTACACTGTACACAAAAATCTACTCAAAATGGATTAAAGACTTAAACATAAGACCTCAGACCGTCAAACTGCTGGAGGAAAACGTAGGGGAAAAGCTTCTTGGCACTGGTCTTGACGATAATTTTTTGGATATGACACCAAAAGCAAAGGCAACATAAACCAGAATAAACAAGCAGGATAGCATCACACTAAAGAGCTTCTCCATGTCAGAGGAAACAATGAACAAAATCAAAATGTAACTTATGGAATGGGAGAAAACATTCGCAAACCATTTGCGTTCTGCCTCCCCGGAGACACCTGTGAGCAGGTCAGGCAGGGGCAATAATGGCTGTGAAATTATCCTGGAGGGAAGGTCGACAGCTTTGAGAAGTTTCCCTTCAGCCCCCTGGTGCTGGATAAAGGAGTAAAGAGGCCAAAGCCACAGCCCAGGGCAGCAGCGTCGCTGGCAGCACTCAAAGCCCTGAGCTGGACGCCAGTGTAGGTGGCTCCTACACTCCTATCCATCTGTGCAGGGCCTTGGGCACCATGTGCAGGTGTGCCAGCTAGAAGCTGGCAGTGAGTGCCTGCCCACCCCACTTCCAACACGGAGGGACAGACCTCCAGAGCCTCAGGAAAGACTGCAAAAATAATCAAATCCTCACCCTGGGCCCAGGAAGGTTATATGGTTTTCCCACAGCAACACTGCTAGTTGGAGTCAGAGCTGGGACTAGAACCCTTCACTTTTAACTCCCTCAGTCAGTGCTCTGCCCATGAACTTGTAATCTGGTGAATAGCAGAGCCTTCTGCCACCTTGCACAGCCCCAGCCATTGATGGAGTCTCCCTCCCTCCCTTTCCTTTCTTCTTTCTTCCTTTCTCTCCTCCTTTCCTTCTCCTCCCTCCCTTCCTTCTCTCCTTCCCCTTGCTTCCCCCTCTTTCCTTCCTGACTCCTACCTTCCCTCTCTCCCTCCCTCATTTCCCCCTCCTCCCTTTCCTCCTCCTTTTATTCAATGAGTATCAATTTGTAGGCTTCTGCTGGGCCCTGCATTGTTTATGCCACTCTGAAGACTTAGTCCCTGTCCCAGGCCACCCAGAGACCCCACAGCCAATCCGAGGGAGCTTTCTCTGCAGGCTGTGCCAAGATAACAATGAGAGAGACACATGCCTGCCAGAATGGGAGGCCCGAGCTGAGCATTGAGGATAAGCCCATGGACCACAAGCTGCATGCTCTGCTGTTTTATTTATGATTTCTCCTAATAACTGTGGAAGATTTTTGTGCATTTGTCATCATGCAAATGAAAGCATGATTGCCAATGCACACAAAGTTATTAACATCTAAACAATAGTCTCTACTAACAGGAATGGAATTAGAAGAATAAGGTAAGTGGCAGGGGCAGGGGGACTGAAAAAGAATAAATTAAAAAAAAATCAAATGAAGGAAATTAGAACTGGTATAATAGGAAAGAAATGGAAACAACCTAATGTCCAAAAACATAGGAATGTTCAATAATTTCCACATTTCCATAAGCCAGAATTCCAAGCAGCTATTAAAAGAGTTTTGGAAGAGGTTGGGTGCGGAAGCTCACGCCTGTAATCCCAGCACTTTGGGAGGCCGAGGCGGGCAGATCACCTGAGGTCAGGAGTTCGAGACCAGCCTGGCCAACATGGTGAAACCCCGTCTCTACTAAAATACAAAAATTAGCTGGGCAGGTGCCTGTAATCCCAGCTACTCGTGAGGCTGAGGCAGGAGAATTGCTCAAACCCAGGAGGGGGAGGTTGCAGTGAGCTGAGATCACGCCACTGCACTCCAGCCTGGGCGACAAGAGCAAAACTCTGTCTGAAGAAAAAAAAAAAGTGTTTTGGAAGAATATGTAATGATATGGAAAGCACTCATGATAAAAGAGTAACTGAAAAATGTATGATAAAAAATCGTATGTGAATATGTCATAGCTTTAACATTATTTAAAATTATATAGGTAAAAGACTGAAAAGGTATATACTGATATACTAAGAAAAGTTTTCCCTGGATGTTGGAATTAGAGGCAATTGTTAGTCTCTTTTGCCTAGGTTTCTAAATTTCATGAGTTACTTTTATATCAGATAAACCATTTTCAAGACACCTACGAGGTTAGTGGAAAAGTAATTATGGTTTTTGCCATTACTTTCACAACAAAGGATCTGACAGGAGGACAGTATGGACAGGGGAGAAGGCGTGTTGGGAACCATATGGAAGCCTGTGCGCCTCACAGGGAAACTGTCAGGAGCCGGGGAGCCACGCCGCGCGTGGGAAGCGGGGGCTCATGCGTGGTGCCATGATCCGCCCCGCGCTGGGGAGAACATGAGGACTAGAACTCAGAGTTCATGCCCCCAACTTTGACCTCTTTCTACTTTATATTAGAAGCATATTGTGTGTTTAGAATGAACAGTGATTCAACTTGAATGTGTACTGCTGAAAATTTCAAAGGACATTTTAATAAAGGAAGGAAGAAACAAAGGATGGAGAGAAAGAAAAAATGTAAATATAGTCACGTGTCGCTCAGAGACAGGAATACATTCCGAGAAACACATCTTAAGGCAACTTCTATGTGGGAACATCATAGAGCATCCTTGCACGAACACAGATGGTAGAGCCGACTACATCCCTGAGCTCCATGGTCCAGCCTTTTGCTCCTAGGCTACAAACCTGTGCAGCACGTGACTGTCCTGAATGTTGCAGGCAGTTGTCACACGATGGTAAGTATTTGTGCATCTAAACATAGCTAAACATAGAAATCATGCAGTAAAAATACAGTATAAAGATAAAAAATGGGCCGGGCACAGTGGCTCATGCCTGTAAATCCCAGCACTTTGGGAGGCTGAGGCTGGCGGATCGCTGGAGGTCGGGAGTTTGAGACCAGCCTGACCAACATGGTGAAACCCCGTCTCTACTAAAAATACAAAAATTAGCTAGGCATAGTGGTGCACACCTGTAATCCCAGCTACTCGGGAGGCTGAGACAGGAGAATTGCTTGAACTCGGGAGGCAGAGGTTGCAGTGAGCCAAGATCGCACTATTGCACTCCAGCTCTGGGCTACAGAGTGAGACTCCATCTCAAAAAAATAAAAAATAAAAAACCAAGATACAAAATGGTAGACCTGTCTAGGGCACTCACCATGAGTGGAGCTTGCAGGACTGGGAGTTGCTCTGGGTGAGTCAGTGAGTGAGTAGTGAGTGAATGTGAAGAACTAGGACATTACCGTACACAACTACAGACTTTACGGATACACTTAGGCTACACTAAATGCATTTGAAAAATAAAGTAACTGTGCTATGACGTCACTAGGCAGTAGGAATTTTTCAGCTCCATTACAATCTTATGGGACCACAGTGGTCTATATCGTCCGTTGTTGACCCAAACATCGTGAAGCCAAGCATAACATGGCTGTATTAGGAAACACTCAGATTCTGCTCCGGGAAGACAACGAAGCTGTGGGCAAGTGCCCACCCCTCTATCAATATCAGCATCTCGGAGCACCACGCTCTCAGAGCCAGTGGCCCGCATCCCCCGCTCCACCCACAGATCCACTCCCTCTGCAGCAGCTGCAGCAGGGGACCCCCAGCCCGGAGCGACCCCGGCACCGCCCAGCCAGAAGGGGAGAGGGGAGACTGACCATGACGATCTCCAGCACTTCATTCTTGCTGATGGTCCCGTTACCGTCCACGTCGTAGAGGGAGAAGGCCCACTCCAGCTTCTGGTTGGTCTTGCCCGCGGTGGTCATGTGCAGGGCGATGACGTACTCCTTGAAGTCCAGGGTGCCGTCGAGGTTGGAATCGAAGCTGCGGAACACATGCTGGGCGTAGGCCTTGGGGTCGGTGTCGGGGAAGAACTTGGCGTAGATGCTCTGGAACTGCTGCTGGGTGATGCGGCCGGTGGGACAGTCCTTCAGGAAGGACTGGTACCAGGAGCACAGCTCCTCCTCCGAGAACTTGGTGTTCAGCTGCAGCTCCTCCAGGATCTCCTTGGACAGGGCCCCACTTTTGCTGTTCCCCATGAGTGAGGAAGAGTGGGCAGCGGCTGGGGAGTCGCTGGGTGGGTGGGACGTGCGTGGTCCCCTGGCCGCAGGCTGGGCTCAAGGCTGGTGTGAGCTGAAGACCGAGATGCTGGTGGCTTAGGAGGATTTGCGACCAGTTCTTCGCAATCCTTGAAGGGAGGAGGGGCCCAGGAGCTTTGTGGAGGGCGGGAGCGGTGGGGGGGGGTGCTCCCAGAACCCTAGTGAGATTAAAATAAAGAGCCCAGGGCAGGCAGGCAATTCATCTCGGCCTCCCGGGACGATACTAGAACAGGACAGGAGGTTGGAACCCTCAGAGCTGGGGCCTCCGGCACCCCCAGCCCCAGCCCTCTAACAGCAGCCATGTTCCCTGTTTCTCTTCCTCACTAACTCTGAGCATCTCGGGGCGGGGCTGGCATCTCATATCAAGCCCTAGAATGCAATGGTTAGGAGCACAGACTCTGGGGCCAGCATGGGTTCAAGTCCCAGCTTGGCTACTTAACTAGCTGTGTGGCCCCAGGCTTGTTTCTTCACCTCTTTCCACCTGGGACACTCTTCTAAACCTTCACTGCAGTCATGTCTCTGCTTAAATGTCACCTGCTCAGCCAGGCCTATACTGACCCTCTATCTATAATAGCACAACCCCCACCATCATCGGCACGCTGCATGTCCCCTCACCGGAATGAAAGCTCCGTGAAGGATGGGATTTTGTCTGTGTTGTTCCCGGATGCATTTCCATTGCCAGAACCTGATAGGCTTGGGCCCCCAGCAAGTCTTTCTTGAATAAATGGGCATCATAGCATCTACCACACTGTCATTGTGAGGCTGATGTGAGTCAATATGTCTGACACACTTAGAAACTGGCACATGGCTAATGCTAAACACTCGTTTTGTTATTGTCCATCAGTCACAGGGAGTGAAGGTGAACTGCCTGAAGGGACCAGCAGGGGGCAGCCAGGCCTGTGTCACCTCGGGAAGGGGCTGCCAGAGAACGTGGTCACATGGGATGGTGAGATTTTTGGGTTTTTTTAAATTATTCAAGAGAAATCCAAAAATCAGAATTTTTCTTGCAATTTCCACACTTTTCAACTTTGGCAATTAATTCAAAATTTTAATGGTGGCTCACGTCTGTAATCCCAGCACTTTGGGAGACTGAGTGGGGAGATTACAAGGTTAGGAGTTCGAGACCAGCCTGGCCAACATGGTGAAACCCTGTCTCTACTAAAAATACAAAAAATTAGCCGGGCATGGTGGCAGGTGACTGTAATCCCAGCTACTTGGGAGGCTGAGGCTGGAGAATCGCTTGAACCCGGGAGGCAGAGGTTGCAGTGAGCCGAGATTGCACCATTGCACTCCAGCCTGGGTGACAAGTGTGAGACTCCATCTCAAAAAAACAAAACAAAAACAAAAACAAAAACAAAACAAAACATGGTGTGGGCCAAACACAATCTATCTGTGGGTCCATGGCAGGCTGCAGGGTGTCCGTCTGCAGTGGACTTGGAGTGAGCAGGCAAGAAAACGTGTTTGCTGAGTGAATGGATAAATAACTGAGTGGTCAGAGACGGAGCTGTGCAAAGGCAGGCTTCGCGTCTGTGCAGCTCAGCGGGGAGTATCAAGCACGAGGAAGCAACCTAGTGAGGACGCTGCACACCTGGATTCTTGTCACCCAGAAGGAAGGGAGGGTGGGCGTGCACTTTCCTTAGCGGAGCGCAGTGCTCGAGGGGACACACTCAGAACCCCAGCCTTGCCACCGTGGATGGAGAGTTGTCTCTTTTTGCCCTGGGGTGAGAATGATGAAGAATAAACCCCACGGTCTCCAGGCAGGTAAACTGGTTTTTTTTTAGACGGAGTCTCCCTCTGTCACTTAGGCTGGGCACGATCTTGGCTCACTGCAACCTCCGCCTCCTGGTTTCAAGCAATTCTCCTGTCTCAGTCCCCTGAGAAGCTGGGACTACAGGTGTCTGCCACCACGCCCAGCTAATTTTTTTTTGGTATTTTTAGTAGAGTCGAGGTTTCACCATATTGGTCAGGCTGGTCTCGTAAACTCCTGACCTCAGGTGATCCGCCCGCCTTGCATCTCAAAGTGTAAAGTGGGGATTTTAGCCTACTTACTAACAGGCTAGTGGCAGCAGAAGGTAGGTCCCTGCTGCTGGGAGAAAGCCACCTGCCAGGCCCACCTCATGTCACTCTGGAAGGACCGAGAGGTTCAGGCACCAAGGGGCAGACTCATCCCTCCCAGCCGCTCTGCCCAGTACAGTTTCAGAGATTTCTCAGGAAACCTGCATATTGGGGTGTGTGTGTGAACTTTCTAATTTTTTTCCATCACTTTGTGAGTTTTTTTTTTTTTGTTTGTTTGTTTTTTTTGTTTTTTTTTTTTTAAGACAGAGCCTCATTCTGCGCCCAGGCTGGAGTGCAATGGCACGATCTCGGCTCACTGCAACCTCTGCCTCCCAGGTTCAAGCGATTTTCCTGCCTCAGCCTCCCAAGTAGCTGGGATTACAGGCGCTCACCACCATGCCCAGCTAATTTTTGTGTTTTTAGCAGAGATGGGATTTCACCTTGTTGGTCAGGCCGGTCTCGATCCCCTGACCTCATGATCTGCCTGCTTTGGCCTCCCCAAGTGCTGGGATTACAGGCATGAGCCACTGCGCCCAGTGAGAATATTACTTCTGAATAGGAGTCCTTCCTCTCCTAGGCTTTCACCATCCTGTAGCGTGCATTTATTCTCAAGAGCAGTTAGAAACAGGACAGTCACTAGCCTTGAAAACAAACGGGAGCCCAAGCCACACCCTGGAATCGCATTCATTCCAGAGCTTCCTTGCAGCCCTGGGGATGGAGGGAGAGTGAGGTCAGAGGCCTCGGCCCCTTGCTCTGAGCCACTAGTAGGGGGCGACTGGAAGTGCCTCCTGGATCGCACCCCTGTCCACATCAAGCCTGCAGCAGATGAGGCGAAGCCAGTGTTACAAGTGAGAAGTGGGGCCTCCTAAAGGCATGTCACCAGCCTGGGGTCACATGGTTGCTAAATGGCAATGCCAGAAGGAAGGAAAGTCCAGGTCTGCCAGCCTGTCCATTTAGGCTTCCTTTGTCTACGTCACAGGAGGCCTGAGCCTAGAGGACAAGTAGGTGAGGAGGTGGGGTTACCATGTCAATGAAAGAGGCCCTGGGCGAGGCAGAAGGCAGCCAGAGCCCTCCAGTCTTTGCTGTCCTCTCCAGGCACAAGGAGGAAGGAGCTGGACCCAGGTCGGAAGCAGCCTGGTACAGTCCACATTCTCCAGGTTGCTGTGCCCAGGAGGGGCCCCAGGGGACCGCAGGCAGCTGTGTTGATGCTGAGAGTGAGGGGTCATGACCTGGAGGTTTGTTTGAAAACCTGCATAAACATCTTCTATCAGAGGGAGAGCTTATGCTCCTTAGCCAAACAAGTTGTTGGAGATGATGTATTGTGAGTCGATTTGTTAAGTCTGAGCTGGGGCCATAAACTCTCCCAAAACCCAAAGACTGCTCTAGAGGAGAAGGCTTCATCTCCAGGCAGAGGATCCCAGTTTTGGTCTCGCTCTCCTCGCTGGACTGAAAGATGCTTCCCAGAAGCTGGCCCTGTCCCCTCAAGCAGGAGCTCCATCTTGGCCATTAGCTGGGACCCAGACGCCACCCCTTCCCCATTGCTCGACCTTGCCTGCTATGAGCTGAAGGCCAAGACGACCCTCCTGCCCTCTGGCCTGGAGCCAGCACCTGCAGAGAAGTCCGCATTGAGAGGGAAAAGGGGGTATGGAGAAGGTGGCGGGGGAGACAGAGAATGGGGAAGGACCCTCCTCCCACAGCTGTCCCCATTGCAGAAAATGACAATCCATCCTTTTGATGACTTGGATTGAGGTCCTTGGCATCATTCTCAGTGTTTCTCTTTCGGTCACAACCCACTCCAATCTATCAAGAAATCATCTTGACTCTACCTTCAAGGTACATCCAGAACCAGACCGTTCTTCCCGCCTCCCTTGCACCTGCCTTGTGCAGGCAGCATCACCGCTGCCTCCTAACAGCTCTTCCTGCTTCTGCTCTTGTCCCCTTACAGCCCCGCAGTGAGCCCCATGGCCATGAAATCAGGTCATGCACTATGGCTGCCCACTTCTCCCAGTCCAAGCCAAAAGCCTGCAGCAGGCAGCACTGGCCCTCATCCCACCATTTCTCGCAAGTGGCCTCTGGCACCTCCAAGAACGGATGAAAGGGGGCGGATGCCTTTTGTCTCTCTGCTAAGTCATCAGAGGTAAAATCACCACCAATCCCAAGAACCTGGGGGAAACGCTGAGACGGGTCGTTCAAAGAATGTGACAGCCCTCCAGGAAAGAGGGTTGCCCAGCGTCCTCATCTTCTCTTCCCTCCTCACTCCCTCCACTCCAGCCAGGCTGGCCTCAGACACGCGAGCATCTCTTCCGCTTGGAACACTCTCCTCTGGTGACCTTCCAGGGTCCCTCCCAGGTCTCCTTGTCTTTGATCAAATACCACCTTCTCAATGAGGCCACTCAAATGACCCTATTGAATCCTGCAACGTACCCTGTCCTGGTTTTCTTTTCCACAACACTTAACACCATCCACACCCACATCACAGAACATAGTAGGTCTACTGTTTTTGTCTGCTAGAATGTAAGCTACCTGAGAGCAGGGCTCTGTTTCTCACACTGATGTGTTCCCAGAACCTAGAGCAGTGTCTGGCATATACCAGATGCTCAGTAATTATTGAATGAATAGATGGATGGGACCGGGCGTAGTGACTCATGCCTGTAATCCCAACACTTTGGGAGGCCGAAGAGGACGGATCACCTAAGGTCAGAAGTTCGAGACCAGCCTGGCCAACGTGGCAAAACCCTGTCTCTACTAAAAATACAAAAATTAGCCAGTTGAGGTGGGGCGTGCCTGTAGTCCCAGCTACTCGGGAGGCTGACACAGGAGAATCGCTTGAACCTGGGAGGTAGACGTTGCAGTGAGCTGAGACTGTGCCACTGCACTCCAGCCTGGGCGACAGAGCGAGACTCTCTCTCTCTCTCTCTCTATATATATATATATAAATGAACGGATGGATGGATGGATGAGAAAAGAAACAGCCAGGAGCTCCAGAGATGAGAGGGAGGCAAAGGGCTGGAACCCACAGAGACAGGAAGTCACCAGGGGGAGGGGCCTGAGGCCAGGAGCATAGCATCCATTTGGGTGCCAGTGTCCAGATGCCCTTTGTCTCCCGCTAAGTCATCGGAGGTGAAATCACCACCAATCTCGAGAGCCTAGGAGGGATGCCAAGACAGGTCACATGAAGAATGTGGCAGCCCTCCAGGAAAGAGGGTCGCCTAGGGGGACCTAGTGTCTCTGGACAGTTTATTTTACATGGGATGAATCTAGGCATCTCGAGGATACACACAGAGCAGAAGAAAAAAAAAACGAGATGGGATTTAACTTCCTGAAAACTCTTTATAATAATGCAGGACAACTGTATATAGCAAACGCCTTCAAAATTTAAACTCTTTAAACATTTAATTCTTCAGCATTAATACACACAAATGCGGTAACAGGGGTCAGGGGGGTGGTGCGGGGGCAGGTGGGTTACAGCCTCCACTGGGATCAGGGTTTCAACAGTGTTACTTATAAATTATATTACATCAATTTTATTTACTGATCTAGGCAGCCAGAGGGTGGAAGGATATACAATGTGGAGGAAACACATTCATACCGGGGTGAGGAGTGCTGGCGGGAGACACGGCTCTTTAACATGAAAAATGTATAAAGTATTTAGCAAAAGTTACAGAAAACAGATCAAACAAGCAAGTTTATTTTGTTAGAAAATTCCACTTTCATAGGGTTTGCCGATGTGCTCGTGTCTGTGAAGGGGTTGCTTCCGGTCATCTCCTTCCTAACGGAAGGGAAGGGATGCTAAGTTGGGGCCCCTGTCACTAAGGATGGCTGGCGTCCCTTTGAATGTCTGTCCCTGGGTCCACACAGCTGCCTGGAACCCACGACTCCCGAGAGCCCGTCTGCTGCAGGTGATGCTGGAAGGGAAGCGCCCCCACTTGACAGATGAGTGCACGGAGGTCCCGACAGGGGATGTGACTTAACTTCAGGTTATGGGACAAAGGAGGCCGCAGAGCAGGGCCAGTCCTGTGCTCTCCCCCTGCATAGCAGGCTTTCCCTCTAGGTCTCCCAGTCACCCCACCCCGAGAGAGCACCCACGTGCCCTGACCTTACATTCCACTGCAATCCCACTAAAGTTTCCCTCAAACACCAAGGAACAGTCCTGAACACCACACGCAATCTCCAAAGGCCATCGCCCCAACCTCACCCCACCCCCAGAGACACCTCCCAGGAAGCCCTCCTGACAGCCATGCCCCAGCATTTAGAACGTGGGGAGAAGCGAATTGGTTTTTGCCCTCTGTCTGATTCTCGCTCTAACCTGCTGCAATGGGAATTGCTTCTTCACCTCCAGGAAAGCCTCAACAAAAATACTCCTGAGGGGGAGACAAGAGTCCTCCCCGGCAAATTTCAACCCAGCAGAGTCCTGGCAGCCTCTTCGGCTCCCTACCTTGAGGCCCCGGGGGCTCAGGCTTCCTGGCCCTAATCTTCACCTGGCCTGGATCCAGAAATGTCTCTGGTTCGCATAGAGAGGTACCCAACTGGTCTCGGGACTCACCTTTCACTGAGCAGGGGGCATGAACAAGACACAGCTTAGTGGAGTGTTTACCTCAGGGGTCACACTCAGCCTGGTCTGGCCTTAACTGGGTGTGGTCCTGTCCCTGCCACCATGTACCACCATCCAGTGGGGTGCAGGTACAGGCCAGGCTGTGTGATCACCAGCTAGGCAAGGCTCCAGCTGCGACAAGGACTCCATCTTCACGCCTGTCCTGGCTCCTGGGGAGTAGACTCCAGAACATACTATCAAAGATCGACGAATGAGATCCAAACGGTCATTACTTGCACTGTCTTTGGGGGGTCCTAGGAGAAACTACCTCATTCTTAACAGCTCATAAAACTCTTAATTTTAGCTCCATTTGAATCTAAATGGAAAAGTACCACGGCATCTCTCTCACCAGGACTTGAGGCAATTCTATGCACGATTGTGCAGATGAGAGCCAGACACAGCATGAACACGTGTACAGGGTACATCATTGGAAATGAGAAAGGGAGGAGGTACATGCAGTTGCCGGTGGCCTGAGACACTCATCTAGAACAAACACCCTCAGCTTGCAGATGAAGCAACAGATCCAGGAAAGCATCATGATGAGCCCCAGGGCCAGCCCCAGCCTTCTTGTCCATGCTGCTTCTGCTCGCCTTTCAAAGCCTCCAACGCCCAATACATAGCCAAGGACCGTGTGACACTGAAGCCTGGGTCCCAGAAGGGAGCAGATCTGCTGGCTGAGATGCAAGCTTCAGGTTGCAGCAGACGTGAGCAGCAATTGAGCACCCATCCGTCCCTTCCCCTCCCATCCCTGGATTCTTTCTGCACTACCAAAAACCCACCACGCGCCAAAAGGCGAGTGTGAGCCCTAAGAACAGCTTGTGGGCACAGCTGGCATTTGGAGGAGGAGCCTGGGGAACTGAAGGAAGCAGCAAGCTGGAAGTGGTCGTGCAAACAAGTTGAAGACCCTGGGCCAAGAACTTCCAGGGCGAAAGGCTCAGTGTAAAAATAAAGAAGCAGAGTAGTACGCCCATGCAATGAAATACTTCCCGGCAAGGAGAAGGAACAAACCACACGCACACATCATGAATGACTCAAAAGCATTAAGCTGAGGGAAAGATGCCAGACTCAAAAGGCGACATCAGTGTGACTCCATTTATATGACATTCTAGAAAAGGCAAAATTATAGGATCAGATAATCAATCAGGGTTGCCAGGGAAAGAGGGCAGGAGAAGGGAATTTTTTGGAGGGTTAAAAACAGGTTGATCTTGGTGATGGTCACAAGACACTAAATTTGTCAAAATTCACAGAGCTGTATATTTCCAAAGGGTGAATTTTACTGGATGTCAATCATACCTCAATAAACCTGGGAAAAGGTGGTGGCGATGGGCCTTGTAGGGATGGCAAGGATTATGGGGATAAGACGATGTCCAGGCTACGTGGGGGGGCAGCTGATCTGTACCCCACTTAACATTAGAAGTGCTCTCTCCGACCTACACAAGGAATGCATCTTGAGCCTTCTGTTTAAACACTCCTTGTCAAGACTACCTGCAGCTGGAAGTAAAATCACCTAAACAAGCCAAGGTCGCTGATGTCCTTCGAATGTTATGGCTTGTATTTCCAAAAGGGACTTTGGCTCAGCCCAGATTTTTCTGCATCCATCCACTCATCTAGTAATTGATTGGTTTTCACAAAGGGTAGGGAAAGAAACCCCTGGTTGGTGAATTCGTTGGTACACTGTTTCGGTGTGCCCAGCTGTTTATCAATCCTGACTAGCAGAGCACTGCCTCCCACCGCAGAAATTCTCCTTGGCCAACAGGGTGCTGAGTGGAGGTAGAAAGGAGGCCCAGGGTGGTCCCACTGACAGAATCTCAGGGCCGCCATCCCCACGGTCCAAGGGGCCTATGTGTTGCCACTGACTGAAAGCACTAGAAAGAATAGAGGGTAACAAGTGGCTCTTCCTGGAGGTTGTCACAGCAACCAACTTGGAACACCATTTGGCTTAAGGAATTTTTTTTTTCTTTTTAAATCAGGCTTTCACAAACAGATCTTGTGCATCAGTCTCCTGGGTGGAGGCAGGTAGAAGGGGCTGACTTGTTCTCAGAAATGGAAGGGACATTCTCAAGAATAGCCCAGACCCGCCCACTTTGAATAAACCCAGCTAAGTCCTCACCTAAGCACCAAGACATAAAACAAAACAACAACCCGGATAGCGTGCTTGCCTCTCCAAAGTGCAGTCTTTTATTTTCTCAGTTGCATCCTAACCTTGATTTCAACCAGAAACGGGCCCCTGTTCATACGGATAGGGGTTCTGGACTGTTGACTCTAGCCCTGGTCTTAATTCACTGGCAATTTCATAGCCTCACTGGTTACCCTTGAGCTTCACTTTCCTATTTGCAAAGAGTTATTTATAATTTTTTTGAGATGGAGTCTTGCTCTGTCACCCAAGCTGGAGTGCAGTGGCCCGATCTTGGTTCACTGCAATCTCCGCCTCCCAGGTTCAAGCGATTCTACTGCCTCAGCCTGCCGAATAGTTGGGACTACAGGTGTGCACCACCACATCTGGCTAATTTTTTGTATTTTTAGCAGAGACGGGGTTTCACCATGTTAGCCAGGATGGTCTCGATCTCCTGACCTCGTGATCTGCCCACCTCGGCCTCCCAAAGAGCTGGGATTACAGGCGTGAGCCACCGTGCCCGACCCTTATTTGTAAAGAGTTATTTAAAGCAAACAGAGAAATTTCTGAAATTCGAATTGGATATGGGCCGTGAGGGTCTGGTGACCAGGTGATTAAAATCTTGTTGCTGTCTACCTTCCATCCAACAGGTAAATGCCTCACGACGGTGGTTTATATTATAATAAAGAATCCCAGAGGGTTAAGTGTGGAGAGGGTACAATGTTCTTATTATACTCTTCTCAGTCGACATGGAGAATAGAGGAGAGCAGAGGAATGCCCATCTTACATACAACTAGAGCGCCGCTTCTCAGCATGCCTGGCTTGTCTTGAGCATTCGCTGAATGAATGCAGATTAATCAGAACAACAGACTTACCTCTGAAAACTTAAATTCTGTAGAGTGCCTATGTATCAATGCCAAGGTTGCTGACCGGTAAGACCCCTGAAAACGAGCGATCACGGGCTTCCCTGACGACAGGGCCATTATAGTGTCCTCAGATTAGATCTTAGCACAATGGCTTTAACCTGCTTGATGAATGAATAACAGAGGGAAGAAAGAAAGGAAGTACGTGAAGGGGGTAAAGAGAAGGAGGTGAGGGGATGAGGGGGGAAAGAGTGACCTCCAAAAATGGACTGGCCCAAACTGGGCCAACCTGAGCTACCCTGGAAGACGCAAGAGGGCTCACTCTATCCCAGGGATGAACAGAGGACTCTGGAATCCTCAGATGTAATGGAAAAGTCAATGAGCCATATTGTACTCAAAATATCTTGTTAATAACAAGGCTATTGGCTTTGAATGTTTGGAAATCATCCACAGAGTAGTTTACTAAGCCACAAAGCAATTACCACTAGCACCCATTTTTCATAAAGAAACCAAGAAATAATATTCTAAAATTGGTAGCTGGTGTCATGACCCAACCCCAGATCTGGACAGAGTGGTTCTCCATCCCATGGACAGATCCTACCAGGAGGTCTTCACGTAGGTGAAGGCCTTTGTGCTGACCTTTTTGGTTGCAATGTTTCAAGAACAAGAGAAAAGTGACAACGTTTGGTTTACTTTAGTATATTAGGCATTTTTCTAATGTGAACTATACGAAAGCAATTCTCATTCAATGAAAGAGGCGCCAAAAAATTAGAGATTAATAAGTCATCGGTTTCTAGCACGTTGACTGAAAGACCAGTGAGTTGTGCTTGTTGAATTCTGCCCTCACTGCAGATGTGCAGGTCAAACCCAAAGTGGTCAATGGGAAAGATGAAGAAAGATGGATTTCCAGGGCATGGGCTCCCGACTAGAATCTGCCCCTCGCTCATGCTTCTCCCGGCCCCTTTAGACTCTTTAGACTGACATGGTGGAGAATGTGTTTGCTGTGGTAGAGAAAGGGAGAAAGTAATGAGCTGGGCCAAACAGCAGCACTGAAAGCTTCCCAAGTCACACTCAGACCAGACTTTTCCAGGGATTGGAAGATGGAGAGAGGGAAAGGAGGTGCAGACACCAAGTAAGGGTTTGGTGCAGGGCTCTGGAATGTCCAGAAGGAGCGGGAAGCAAAGGTGGCGGGACACTGCCTGAAAGGCGACAACCTAGTGTGGCCACAAGAGAGTCTGCTATGCCTGTCCAGTGCCCACCAGTGACAGAAAACTGTACAAGGGACAGCAGTCCCAGCCCTGCCATACACAAGAAGACAGAGCCATCTGGGGGATGGCAAAGACTTGCCCTAACCCATCTCACATGTAGGACTGACCCGGCCCCATTAAGAGCCTGTGGTGGGCGGCCCGGGAGAGTGGGGGCCAGGGCAGCCCAAAGGTGCACAGGGCACCGTGGCGGACAGGCCCCAGCTTGCTGGCCTCTGAGACGAGCTGGTTTGTTTCCATCCCTGAAGCCTTTGGACGAGCTGGATGAGGTCTTGATAACTGAGAACTTTGGAAAGCTTCCTCTAATGAGACTGGGAAGGGCTGGCAGGGTGGGGGCAGGGGCCTCCCCGAGGAAGCAGCTGGGGGAAGGATGGATTGGCATTTCCAGAGGAGACTTTACAGATGGCGCCTGATCTCATGGGACACGATTCAGCGCTCAATTTGGGGCTAATTTGCCGAATGAGGTAGTTCCATCCTGACCTCTCCAGGCATGGTGGGTCTGGGAAGACAGGAGCCAAGCCTTCCTCCTAAAACCCCTGGTGATGAACAGTGGCTGAGAAAGCCAGATGTGGACTCCCAGAATGCAATGGGAAAAAAATAAAGAAGGAGGGCTGCAAAGGATTCTGGGTGCGGCTGTGAGCTGAATGGCACCTTCTACCCATGATTCTGATCCTGACACCTGGCTTAGAGACAGAGCCCTCCCTACCCTGATCCTCCAAAGCCCTGGAGACAAGGGAGCCAGCTGGAGGAAGAGCCTTGGGGCTTCCAGGGCACAAGCATGTGACAGTGACCCCTACAAAACTCGGCAAGGACCACAAAGTTCCAGCCTCTGTTTGTTTCAGAGCGGCAAGCACAGCATGGGAGTCAGGGGGTCTTCAGCCTCAGAGACAAGGGCAGGGCTGTGGGTCTGTCTTCTGGGCCTGGGAATATGGGGGAGCCCCCAGCTAGGCTGTCCGGGTCACCCTTCTGGAATCACCAGCTCTCTCCCCTCTCCTCAGTGGCCCAGGAGAGAGGGTGGGGGGCATCCACTCGGCATGGGCCCCATGGTGGGAGCCCAGCCCCCCTCCCCAGCAGGACCCCCCGAAGCTGCACAGGCCCATCTAGATCTCCATGTCCACAGGGCGGATGTTGCCCGTCTTGTGCTCTCTGACCCACAGCTCCCTGTCTTTGGCCGGGTCCACTTTTCGAAGCAGCTGATCCACGGGCTCGACTGTCTGCAAGAGACAGAGAAAATGCGACACTGTTAGAGACGGCGGCCAAGCCAGGGAGGTCTCCTCTGAGACATGCTGTCCTCACCTTAGTGTCTCTGAGAGCAGCCTCTCTAGAGGGCTCCGGGGCCCCAGGGGGAGGCCCATCTGAGGGACAGCACATGAAGAGGGCTGTGAACGGGGAACCCAGTATGCATCCCGACCCTGCTTCTCACCCTGCAGACCCCAGGCCTGGATGAGAGGCCAGGAGGGCCTTAAAACCTGTCTCTATCCCTTCCACCCCACATTTACCACCAGTGAACAGGACAAATAAAACTTGAGCTTTAGGTATTGTGAATATTTCTAGAAGTTGTTTTTTTTGGTTTTGTTTTTTAAGAAATTTAATAATGTCTTCAGCTACTGTAACTGTTACGAGCTTCTTTCTCCTCAGGGTAACAGCTCACGTGTGTGTCCACTTCATGTGCCAGGGTCGGAATCACACAGACGTCCAGGACAATCCTGAGAGGCCCAGTCCACGAGGCCACCCCCAGGCCAGAGCACCTGCCCACTGCCCGCCTTTAGGGCAGATTCACTTGCAGCAGCCACTTAACCTGCCACGGCCTAGCGCCAGGCGGCTCTCCCCAGGCCCCGTGTCGCCCGGGAGCCCCGCTGGGCTGGAAACTCACGCTTTGGTTGAACATGTCTGTTTCATGCCGCAGCTGCGTGTACTGGCACAGGTGCTGCCGGATCATCTCTACCCTCTCCACCTCCAGCCGCTCTAGCTCCTGCCGAGAAAGCAAAGGCCAGAGAACTCTGAGCACGTCCCCTCCACTTGGGGGTCCCCCCACCAAGACCACAAAACGCAAGTCACTGGCTGTGGACATTCTGTCCCATCTGACTCTCTGGGGTCTGATGAAGAGCGTGCCCCATATCTAAGGTGAAGGTGAAGCTGATGACAGCAGCAGCGGCTGTTTTACTTCCTGAAATCCTGCTCCGCCACGCACAGTGCTGAGGGCTTTACGTGCGTTCCTTAACTGTCCTCGTTACAATTTTAAGAGATCGTTTCTGTTATTATCCCCATTCTCCAAGCAAGGGAACTGGGGAACTAACACCTAGAGAGGCAACAACACAGCTCACCCAAAGCGACACGGAATTATGGGAGGAACAGGATTTAAACCAGAGTCCATCAGGCTGTTACTCATGGCAATGCACCCATGCAGCCCTGGCCCTGGTGCCCTGATGGGGTATAACAAGGGGGCACATGTGGGAGCTCCATGCCACACATTCCTGGGACCTTGTCCCTGGGCCTCTGCTGAGCAGCCTCCCTTCCTCTGCCTATGCCTAGTGCTGTGGCCGCAATAGAGACCGGGCCAGGGAGGCAGACTGGGCTGCACGTGGCACAGCTTTTGTCAAAGGGGAGCGTGGAAAGGGTTTGTCCTCTGGTTTCTAGATGGTTTTGTGTCTTTGGAATCTAGGGGATCCGGCTGTTACTCTGCATACAACTAGGTCACTGCCCAGGTGATTAATCAGAAAGGGGGGTAAAGCAGGGGGCTTAATTAGGAGATTAACCAGGAGGAAAACTAGGTCACTGTCCCTGGTGGAGGCCTCTAATCTGCTCTGGTGGGCTGACACCTGGGGAAGGCAGCTGGTTAGTCCTGTGCTGGATGGACAGGGGTGGCTTTAGGCAGTGGGCTGATCCGATGAGCACCTGGCATGATGCCTCCTGTCCCATCTGGCCCAAGTACCAGCCACACTTCACTGTCCACTCAGGCAGGTGCTGACTGATAAGGAGATGCTGCCCCTTTACAAGAAATACTCAAGAGCATCATCGGCCCTGCCGCCTGTTGTTCACCCTTGGTGAGAGGCCTCCCCCACCCCACTGCCTAGCTCCATCCTCACCCATCCATCCACTTTGCAAGGATCTCCTACCAAGGACCTGCAACTCGTGTGTGTGCATGTGTGGGGCGGTCCTCTCTTCCTATAGCTTGGCTATTTTTCCTAAAGAGGCCCTTGTCCACTTAGTTGAGGAGAGTCCTCAGTTGACCCTGACCTCTCAGGGGACAGCCCAAGAAGGATGTAGCCATATCCAACCCAACCCTGCCCACATCCACACAGCTAGGAAGCGCTGGAGCAGAGATCTGAATCCACATAAGCTGGCTCACATTGAGGTTTCGACCCCAACACTGAAGTAGATTTGATGACCATCTCCAGGGTCACTCCACCCCATCATCCCCGCGCCCACCAACAACCACCAGGGGCTGCTCTGTGTCAGCCTCTGTACTGCCATGTCCACACATCCCTGCCCGCTTACCAATGTGGTGGTCACCATCTCTTCAAACCATTTGGACTGGGCCTGGTTGTAGAGATCCACACAGCGCATGAGGTCGTCTCCTGGAAAAAGACCACAGTCACCATCATGAAGCATCCTATCCTCACCATGACTCTGTGCCCCACCCTGAGCCCCACAGCCAAGCCTTCTCCTCCCCCTGGGGTCATGGTGGCCGCTGGAAAGCTGGAAAAGGGATGGCAGTAGGAAGAAGAAGAAAGCAGAGCCAGGGAAGGAAGGGGGCAACCCAGCCCCATGAGAACCCAGCTCAGGTGTCCCCCTGAAGCCTGACCCCAGATACCAAGGATTCAGGATGGTGGTTCTCATTTTGTGTGTGTGTGTGTGTGTGTGTGTGTGTGTGTGTGTGTGTGTGTGTCTAGGGTATTCCTAGGACCCCCAATCCTATCATGAGCCCAAGAAATGCTTCCCTCTCTAAAGATGGCAGTTTTATTTTACACTGGGGAGTCCAGATTGGTTAAAACATGTCACACACAATTTGGTGCTAAGAATAATTAAGGAAGATAAATTTGCAGATCATGTAAGTGTGTGTGTGTGTGTGTGTGCATGAACACACTGCAAGATGTCCTTCTGAAACACAAAAGAACGCATCTGTAGTCACAGTCTAAAACATGCACTGGAGGAGCACACCCCAGCTTCAGGAGAGTGGCTACCTTGGGAAACAGAGAAAGGGTGAGTGGGCAGGAATCAGCTCCTTCTATTGCATTTTATGTCATCACAGAAAGATCCGAGGCAAACATAACTATTCAATCTTTAGGACTACTCTATTACTTTGTTATCATATGTATGTTTAGAACATTTTGTAATTAGAAAGAAAACACACTGCGAAGTAATTGCAAACATTACTAAGCGTACCAGCACCTTGGAACCTTGCTACACAAATCACAGTCTGTGGGCCAGTGGCACTTGTATGCCCTGGGGTCGGCTAGAAATTCAGAAACCCAGGACAGATCCGAGACCTACTGAATCAGAGACTGCATGTTTATGAGACGCTCTGGTAATGTGTGTGCACGTGGCAGGCAGAGCAGCACAGCTCTCATGCACGGCTTTGTCTCAGCGTAGCTTCCTCATCCTCACAGGGCTCCAGCAAGAGGAAGGCATCATGGTGTTTGCTCACGATGGAAAAAGCTCATGAGTGAACCCCAAAGTGAAGTAATTTTCTCTAGTAATTCTAGAAGCAGAATGCTAGAGTAGAATTTAGTAATTCGAGTAGAGTCAAAGTGACTCCTATAGTATCATCATTGTGGCTCATAGGTACTCTGATAGGAAAGTCAAAGAGAACAGGGAAGGTTATGTCTCCAGGCCCCAGGCCTAGCTGCGAACCATACCCCTAGCTATGCCACACACCAGACGCGAGTGTGCCTTGAATAACAGAGCCCACACCAAGGCATTTATTCATTTTGTTCTTGGTCCAAGGCCAATGACTGGACCCTTGATCCCAAGAGGCACTGAACCGGAGAGAAGAAAGTGGATGCTGCACCGTAAAATGCATTTTTTTCTTTTTTTTTTTTTTTTTGAGACGGAGTCTGGCTCTGTCACCCAGGCTGGAGTGCAGTGGCGCAATCTCGGCTCACTGCAACCTCCACCTCCCGGGTTCAAGTGATTCTTCTGCCTCAGCCTCCCGAGTAGCTGGTACCACAGGCATGCGCCACCACCCCTGGCTAGTTTTTGTATTTTTAGTAGAGATGGGGTTTCACCATATCGGCCAGGCTAGTCTCGAACTCCTGACCTTGTGATCCGCCCGCCTCAGCCTCCGAAATGCAAATGCATTTCTAGCAAGAGCTCCTGCCTGGCCGAGGAGGAGGGCGGCGTGCTGCTCTGTACACTGTGAAACTCCCTGAGCCCTGTGTGTCAATGCTGATTTTGAGAAATTGCTTCAGGAACTTCCACAGCATTGGGAAACAGAGTAGGTGAAGGGGGCTGTACCTTCTCTCTATGGCAGCCCAAGAGCTTGAAATTGGAACTTTTTAGAACAGTATTGGTTAAGACCATGGATTGTGGGACAAGAATGCCTTTGTTGGCCAGGCGCGGTGCCTCACGCCTGTAATCCCAGCACTTTGGGAGGCCGAGGCGGGTGGATCACGAGGTCAGGACATCGAGACCATCCTGGCTAACACGGTGAAACCCCGTCTCTACTAAAAATATAAAAAATTAGCCAGGCGTGGTGGCAGGCGCCTGTAGTCCCAGCTACTCGGGAGGCTGAGGCAGGAGAATGGCATGAACCAGGGAGGCGGAGCTTGCAGTGAGCAGAGATCGCACCACTGCACTCCAGCCTGGGCGACAGAGCAAGACTCCATCTCAAAAAAAAAAAAAAAAAAGCCTTTGTTGTCATCCCAGCTCAACTACTTATTAGCTATGTAATCGTAGACAAGTCGGTTATCCTGCGCTTGCCTCCGTGTCTTCATCTGTAAAATGGAGATAACGATTGTACCTTTACCAAGTTGTTATGAGGAATAAATATGTCAAAATATGTAAAGCACTTAGAATAGAGATGGGCGTAGAGAGCCAAATATTAATATGGGCTATGGTGGTGATGAAGATGATGATGATGATGATGATGATGATGATGATCCCTGAGGATCTGATGTCTTTCCTTCTAGTAGCCTTGGAAAAGATGAGGAAGAGGGAGGAAAGGAACAGAAGGAAAGAACAGGTGGCATTTCCTGAGCAACAGGCTGTCCAGCAAAATGGCGACAAGCAGAGTCTCTGGAATGAGAGGAGACTGAATTGTGGCTTCGCCGCTCCACCACTGTGGACCTCATGGAAGGTTCTCATTTTCTCTGCCATCAGTCTTCTCATTTGTAAAGGGTATAAAAATACCTCCCTGCAGGGGGACTGTGCTGATCAAAAGAGACAATGCTCTAAAGCATGGAGGCTGGCCACAGCGAGTGCTCAGAAGAGGCGGTATTTTTCAGAGTTAGGTCTAAGGACTGTCACTTTCGTCACAAAATAATTCCAAACTACAGGAATGAGAGACCGTATTATCTGATGACAATGCAATAAAACTATGTAAAAAAAAATAGCAAGATTAGAAAACAACAACAAAGCCCTTGCTTGTAAACATATAAAGATTTTCTTTGAAACAATTCTTGGTTCGAAGATCAAATGAAAACCCAAATAGCAAAACATAATGAAAATAGCAGAAATAAAACCACCACAAATAAGAACCTGTGGAATATGGTTAGACCACCAGTGTAAGGAAAAATAAATGTCTGGTGGGTTACATATTTCACTGTCTTTTTTTGTTTGTTTGTTTGTTTTGTTTTTTGAGACAGAGTCTCACTCTCTTGCCCAGGCTGGAGTGCAGTGCTGCGATCTCAGCTCACTGCAACCTCTGCCTTCTGGGTTCAAGCGATTCTCCTGCTTTGGCCTCCCAAGTAGCTTGGATTACAGGCACACACCACCACACCCAGCTAAGTTTTGTATTTTTAGTAGAGACGAGGTTTCACTATGTTGGCCAGGCTGGTCTTGAACTCCTGACCTCGTGATCTGCCCGCCTGGGCCTCCCAAAGTGCTGGGATTACAGGCGTGAGCCACCACGGCCGGCCTTCACTATTTTAAAAACAAAAACAAAAATAAACACCTGAAACAAAAAAAAAAAGTAAGAAAAAACCCTCTAGGTGATTAAAAAAAAAGATCTAAATCAGCTCCGAAATCTAGGCTTCTTATGGGAAATATCACTGTACAGAAAAACAGCAAGAAAAAATAGACAAACAAGCAAAAAAAAAAAATTACAAAGAACAAAACTAAAAGACAAATGACAATCTAGGAAAAATATCTGCAATTAAAATGAAAAACGATTCATCTCCCTGATAGATAAAGAATCTATGGTCAGTGGGGAAAGGATATGAGTTAATCAGTTCACAGAAAGTACAACAATGATTTATATGTATATTTTACATACTCAACCTGGGTTATGGAGAAAAGCAAATTAAAAACAAAATATCATTTTTCCCCACTCACTACCAATTTCAAATCTTGATAACACACAATGTTGATAAGCATTTAGAGAACAGGCATTATTCATAGATGCTGTTGATAGGTGCTCTCTCTGGAAAGCAATTTGGAAATATCCATCAAGACGAATAATACCCTTTGACTCAGCAACTATATTCTCTCTATATGCAGATCTGGTCTTAGGCACACACAAAGATGCAGGTACAATAACACAGCTTCACTGGCTGGCAAGCACTCTGAAACAATCTAAGAGTCCTAAACCTCAGTTAAGGGAATGATGAAACAAATTTGGGTACAATCATACAACTGGACACTGGCCAGCCATTAAAAAGTTTGATATGCATGAATGGATGGGCAAAAAGATTTACAGAAATGAAAAAGAGGTATTTCCAAGATATATTAAATAAGTTCAGAAGATAGATTGTATGATCAAATGTATATAAATTTAAATATTTAAAAATCAAAACACTAGGAAGAGATGGTGATTATTTCTGTGAATAGCATTTTATATTCTTGTCTGCTGATTAAAATATTTTGCCATGTACCAATACTGTTTTTGCAATATAATTGTTTTTTGAGGTAGAGTCTCTCTCTGTCACCCAGGCTGGAATGCAATGGTGTGATCATAGTTCACCGCAGCCTTAACCTCCTGGGTTCAAGCCATCCTCCACCTTAGCCTCCTGAGTAGCTGATTCTACAGGCATGCACCACCATGCCTAGCTAATTTTTTCAAATTTTTTTGTAGAGATGAGGTACTATGTTGCCCAGGCTGGTCTCGAACTCCTGGGCTCAACTGATCCTCCTGCCTCAGCCTCTCAGACTGCCGGATTACAGGTGTTAGCCACTGCACCTGGCCTATAAGTTATTTTTTTAATAACTTAATAATTTAAACAGATCTCTTCCCCTTCTGTGCCCCCCCTTCTCTCTACCAATAAATATACTGTGCCCTCTACTTCTTGATCCTGTAATTTATTATTGTGCATTATAAGATTTGTATAATAAACGTTATCCTTCTATTACATTATTTTTTATTGACTTATTTCTATCTTACCTTATTTTGAAATGTAAGGTGGCTGCTTTCTTCTATAATGAAGGAATTGTAACAGGTTCACCAGAAATTGAGGTGAAAGGGACCTACAGACCAAACTCTAATACTACGGCACACATTCTAATTCCAGAGGCAACATGCGTGTCCTCTCGTGCAGTGAAACGTGGCTTCCCTTAGATCTAGTTACCGAGGTTTTCACTGGTTCTACCAGGCCTTCTCTTCCTCTTTGTGTATTAGCTAACTTTGACCACTAGGTGGAAGCAGAAACCAACTCATTGGGAGACTATTCCCAAGAGACTGAAATCTGGTTATTTCTTTAAACAAAGTGTCAGCCTCTGTTCCCAGGGCAGGAGCCCATCCCCATAGGTGAACCTTCAGAGAGAGCATTGCTTCCTGGGGAAGTGGGCAGCTTGGGTGAGCTGTGTGCTTCTGTGGGCTCTGAACAGGGACAGGGCCCTGAGCTCTCAGTGCATGAAGGAGTTTGTCCACCTCCTGGTCAGAGATCTGGGGCTTGGGCGGAAAACAAAAAAAGCCACGACCAGGGAGAGAGTAAGGAGTCCAGCCTCTACCATGCCCCAGAACTAGCCCGGCCTGTGTCCTTCCTCTGACCCCCAAAGTCTCTTTCTTTGAGATCTCTGGGTGTGGGTCAGAGAGAAGGGAAGAGGGGGTACCTCCTGGCAAACAAGGGAAGTAATTTCCTCGCTGCAGTCTTGCAAAGGAGAGATGCACCCTCGCCAGTCACCTCATCTCCTAGCCCCGTGCCCTCTCCTTCTGTGTGCACTGACCAGGCCAGGCGGGTGCCCAGCACTTACCAGCCTGTGTGGACTTTCTCCGCGCCTTCTTGATGTCCTCCTCTGTCTTGTTGCTCAGCTTGATCTCCAGCTGCTGGGTCTTCATCTCCAGGTCTCTCTGCCGCTCTGTGAGGGCTTTCCGGGCCTGGGGTCCAAGGACACGGAGAAGCTGCTCATACAGCTCGGAGCCAGTGGGCCTCCTGGGCCACGCAGCCCAGCTTCCCTTTGGAGTCCTTTCGCCCCTTGTTTGTGTGGATGATGCCACAGTGGTCCAGAGAGGCCCAGCAGCCAGAGTGGCACCACCCAGCTAGGTAGAGGCTACAACCCAACTCTTTTCGTCCTTGCCTCTTCCAGTGACATCTGGACTCAGCCTACCTCAATCTCTCAAACCACGTTTTTTTCCCGATGGAGCCTGTACAAAGACTGGGGACCTAGGCAGTCCTAAAGTCACAGCCCCTCTGCTTGGAAGGGACCACAAAGGCCATCTGTGTCACCTCCCTGCAGCACTTAATAGGATGTAGCAACAGCCCTCCCGTTCTGGAGCTGGACAAGCCTCGGCCCTCTTGTTCCCCTCACTGTACTGCCTTTCCTCCAGGCCACCACTGGCATCTCTGTGGTCCTTGGGTGGCGGCAGTTGGCTGGGCCCAGGGTGTCCCAGCAGTTTGAGCCCCCTTCTCCTCTCTAAGGCACTGGGGACTGGGAATCAGTCCCTGGGGCACACTCTCTTCCCTCTAAGGCTGAACATCAGTTCCCTGGAGGTGAGACCACCCAGGACTCAGCCTCATCCCTGAGCAGGAAGGAGAGCAGGGAGGCGGTGACTGAGTCAGGACGACTCAGCCAGGTGAGGCTTAAACACGGGGCCCCACGTGAACCAGCAGCAGCACTGCTAGGCTCGGGGTTTAACTGGTCGCCAACAGCCACTCGACTGCCCACTGCAGCTGCAGCCTCTCCTCGCACCCCTGGCCCTCTGGGTGGTCATTCCAGCACCACAGGGAGGCAGCTCCTATCTGCCCTTGGATGGGTGGGGTGCTCTGGCGTAGGCACGAGGCTTGGACATCCCCCTATTCCCCTACCTGGGGACAAAGACTCAGCCTTGGCGTATGGAGCCACTGCTGGCTTCCCAGTCCCCCTTCTTCCAGGCAGTCCCCCATGCACCTGCCCTGGCCCAGCGTCCTGGGCCTCTCACCTTCTCCACCGAGGCATAGCGGCTGGCGAGCTGCTTGCGAAGGTCGGCAATGTGGTGGTCGCACTTCTTCATGTCTTTCTTGAAGTTCTCACGGAAGTTCATCAGGGGCTTCTCCACCTCGCTGTGAAGCTGTTGGGAGAGTAGAGACGCACACTCAGGACCCAGGGCATCAGCTGTAAGCCAGTGCAGGGAGGAGGGATGGGAGGGGCACCCCCACTTCCCCAGGCAAGTGAGGATGAGTCTGGGGTAGCGACCTGGCAGGAAGGTGAGAGACACCCCCTGACACGTGGCTGCCTATCAGGTCTCAGCTTAGGCAGGTCACCTTAGCTCAGGAGGCCCCCACACACGTCTACAGGATAAGTGGTTAGCAACTAGAGCCTTCTGATTTCCCCATCTGTTAACTACTTTTTTTCTGAGCTTCTGCAGCTTTTAAATTTTTAGAATTTTTTACTATTTATGGTTTATAATATGCTGTTTTGAAATATGTATATATTGTGGAATGGCTAAATCAAGTTAATAATCAATGGGCTGGGCACGGTGGCTCATGCCTGTAATCCCAGCACTTTGGGAGGCCAAGGCAGGTTGATCACCTGAGGTCAGGAGTTCGAGACCAGCCTGGCCAACATGGTGAAACCCCATCTCTACTACATACACACACACACACACACACACACACACACACACACACACACACAAATTAGCTGGGAGTGGTGGCAGGTGCCTGTAATCCCAGCTACTCAGGAGGCTGAGGCAGGAAATCACTTGAACCTGGGAGGTTGCAGTGAGCCGAGATTGTGCCACTGCACTTCAGCCTGGGTGACAGAGTGAGACTTGGTCTCAAAAAAAAAAAACAAAACAAACAAACAAAAAACAATAATAATCAATGACCTCACACACTTATTTTATCCCACAGCTTCTTGCACGGCTTTGTTCTTATGTCTCTCTCCCTTATTTTCCGAACTGAGAGCTTTCTGGGGACAGAAACCACATCAGCGTCTGTGTCTCCAAGCACTCAGCACAGTGACTGGGGTACGCGGCTTCAGTAAAGAACAGTCGAATGAATGCCATTCAATTAGAAGGTCTCAGGTCAGTCCTATTTATCGAACATCTACTCCATGGCAGGTGCTGAGAATACAAAGGTGAGCTAGACAGGGTCCAAACCTCGAGGAACTGATGGTGGGAACTGTTGGAGACCTGCTGGAAACTCACAAGGGCAACTGTCCCGCATTGCGCTCATAAAGACATTCTCAGCTTGCTGGGCTGCCTGGAGCACAGGCAAAGGGAACCGCCCTGTATCCCAGGGGCCAGAGAAAAGGGTTTATGCTGTCAGAAGAGCTGGGTGGCATCAGGGTTTTAAGCTTTTTTCTTCTCTTTTATTCCTTCCCTCTTTCCCATCCCACCCCCCTTTAAAAGAACTTTTCCTTAAAATTTGTTCCTTTTGTTTGTGAGCATAACATTTATTTATTTTTTATTTATTTATTTATTTTTTTGAGACAGAGTCTCGCTCTGTCGCCCAGGCTGGAGTGCAGCGACGCGATCTCGGCTCACTGCAAGCCTCGCCTTCCAGGTTCACGCCATTCTCCTGTCTCAGCCTCCCGAGTAGCTGGGACTACAGGCACCTGCCACCACGCCCGGCTAATTTTTTTTTTTTTTTTGTATTTTTAGTAGAGATGGGGTTTCACCGTGTTAGTCAGGATGGTCTCGATCTCCTGACCTCGTGATCCGCCCGCCTCGGCCTCCCAAAGTGCTGGGATTACAGGCGTGAGCCACCGTGCCCAGCCCATAACATTTATAAGAAAACAGATCAACGGGACCTGCTGTGGTCAAAGCCAGGTGGCACCCTAGCCCTGTGCACCCCTCCCACCCCACTGCCTGGAATCAGGCAACTCTCTTCAACCTATGACCACCCCACCACCGCAAATCTGCCTCCACCGGTCTTAGAGGTGTCTCTAGGGAGCACAGCTCAACTTCCCTGGACAGATGATATCCCAACGAGGGTTCTGTGACTTCTCTCCTCTCCCTCAGGTTTTTGCTGTACAATATCTTTTTCTCTGGATACAACCAGGACTTAGGTGTCCCTATTCTAAGCAACTGACTTACACGGGGCTGGGAGCTCCAAGCGGGCAGGGGCCCCATCTGGGTTGAGCACTGCTGTGCCCAGTGTCTGACCTGGGCTGGGGCTGGGTGGGTGCCCCTTCTGTGTTTGTAGAGAGAATGACAAACTCTTCAGAGCTCAATCCCCTGGGTGACAAGAAGACAGCTTTGTCGCTGGATGACCGTCACAGACTAACAGAGAACTGGCCATCCAAACACCCCTCTCTCCTCCTCGTGTTAGTTGTAAATATGTCCTACTATTTTTTTTGAGCCCCTGGAACCTTCCCTGTATAGGAAAACATCCCCACCTGGCGGCAGTTTGCAGGATGCTACAAAAATCTTGAGAGCTTACGAGAATAAATAAACCCCTTTCCCACGTATATAGGTTTGGCATTTGCTGAGTAGGAGCAGCTGTACGACTCCGGGAATCTGGGAGAGTTAGCTCAGCCTGCTGACTCAGAAACTCCGGGGTCTCTAAGGACATGGAAAGCAAGTGACTTTCAGGCTTTAATACGCCCAGGAATGACCTGAAGAGTTTTCAACATTAAGGTTTCCTGGACCCCAGCCCCAGGTTCTGTGGTCTGGGGAAAAGCCCATGAACCTGCCAATATGCCAGGAAGCTTTCCCCAAATTCAAATGACATTCTGGAAGCGTGACGCTGCTAACTATCACAAGTGATTTGATTCCACAGATGAGGATGCCTGGCATCTCCATCTCGCTACAGACATCAAGTATTTTATTTATTTATTTATTTTTTTGAGACGGAGTCTCACTCTGTCTCCCAGGCTGGAGTGCAATGGCGCAATCTTGGCTCACTGCAAGCTCCACCTCCCAGGTTCAAGCCGTTCTCCTGCCTCAGCCTCCCAAGTAGCTGGGATTACAGGCACCCGCCACCAAACCTGGCTAATTTTTTTTTGTATTTTTAGTAGAGACGGGGTTTCACCATGTTAGCCAGGATGGTCTTGATCTCCTGACCTCATGATCCGCCCGCCTCGGCCTCCCAAAGTGCTGGGATTACAGGTGTGAGCCACTGTGCCCGACGATATTAAGTACTTTTAAAAGACAGTTTTTTTTTTCCTTTAAAATGGTTAGGCTGGTATCTTTAGTACCCATTCTTAACTTTTAAGCATCTCTGTTGAACCAGGAATCAGAAGTCCTTCCTCAAAGTGTCCTCACAGACTCAGGCCGGCCTGTCATGGCCCATCAGTTTTTCTTTCCAAAACTCTCGCTCTCTTTGCTTCCTTTTCATCTCACACATCAGAAGAGAATAAGAGAAGTTCCAAGTTGGTAGGAATTTCAGACACTGTCTAGTCTGATATTTTTCAGACGGTGTGCGGCCGAGAGTTGTGAAATCGATTTAATGGGCCAGGACCAGCTTTTTGGTGAGAACAGACCAGACTTGAACAGAAAATACCAGAGTACATTTTAAGTAGGAGGATAAATACTGTTTTATGAAACGTTTGTTTCAGCTACAGATGTGTGTGAATGTCTGTGTGCAGATATCGGAGTGGATACCTACAGACAGGTTCTGAATGCTCACATAAAATGCATCATTGTAAGTCACTGTCAGATAAGTGTAAAGAGACTGATCTGGTCTGAATTCTTCATTTCATATGTGAAGAAATGAAACCCCAGGGGAGCTAAGTGACTTGCTCAAGGTCACAGAGCTTGTTAGTGACAATACTGAGATACAACTCATGTCTCCTCACTCCTGTCCCCTAAATCTTCTGATGGAACGCAGAGCCTCTACCGCATGAGATTTTCTATCAGCAGAAGGAATTCTGCTCTTCTCCCTTCTTCAGCAGGAGCCAGGTATAACTTTCTTTGTATACGGCTCTCTCATTTCTTTAGCAATCTGTTGCTATTAGCAATGGCTTGAGCTAATGGACCAGAAAAACCACAAAAATTGCTGCAACAAAATTGCATTTCTTAAAGAGCTTTTACCCCTGACACAGAGCATTCAGAGCAGAATTTCAATAAGTCTTTTGGAGCAGACATTAAAAACGGTTTTTGGCATATGGAGCTATATTATTCATGGCAGTCAAATACATCCTTGGAGCCACTTTCTTCTCAAGGAATCGCCATAAAACCACTAGGCTGCTGCGATGACCGCTTGAGGCCACCAACACTGACCGACAGGCTGGAAGCAGCCGAGAGCCTCTCGTAGCAAAGTCTGTTTTGCATGACGGGTCTTCATGAGCTTCCTGTCAACTGAATGGTGAGGTCCACCCTGTGTCCTGAACACTAACTTAAAATGTTCTGAGCATGTGGTTGTCCAGGGCCAGTCTGCAGTAGCCCATTGGCAACCCCTGGAAAGGCACAGGCTCAAGAAGAGGCTGTGTTTTCAATGCCATTGGTCTGCCAAAGCAGGGGAGCTGCTGGAAGAAAAGCTCTGGGGACCAAGTCTCCCATTCGCTCAGTCCTTTCCTTTGCTTCCTCTGTGACTGAACCCACCTGGCTGTGTGACCATGGGCTGTGATCTCACCCCACCTCTTCTCACTGTGAAATGTGTATGCTATCTCGCGTGGTGGTTGACGGCAATGAGTTATATCCTGCACACAGCCATCCACACCACTTATGTCACCACTACCACGTCGGAGAGAGTTTTGCCACCTGTTGAGCACTCTAAACAATCAAGAATCAGGGGTCCTGCTGATGGGGAGTAAATGCCACCAAGATTCCCGGGGACCCAGCAGGTGACCTTTCCAAAGCTCGCAACTCTGGCTCCCAGCCCCACCCCATCACAATGGCAGCCCGCCCAGGATCTTCCCAGTCAATGGAAGTTTCTACCACAGCAGAGAATGGAGCTGCTGGGGGCCCCGACAGGGGAAGGGAGGCCTTGAGGGGAAAGCTACTCATGATCTGCAGCTGAAAAATAACTTGCTGTTTTGGATGCAATGCAGGAAAAAGATCCATTCACGGAGTTCCCTTCTCTGCCAGGACTTGAGTAGCAATTTTCTACTGAAGCGCTTGGTGTAATGAGGTTAGTTAGCATGCCTTCACTGGCTGGGAATTCTCACTCACATCTGGGTGTCAACTCAATCTTGGGGCACACTAAGCCATGGGGAGCTGTAGCAGCTCTGTTCCCTCTTCCAACCCAGCTCTTTAGAAAGTCCTTTCACGTGTCTCAGTCATCTGAGTCATTCATTCTGCCTTCTGTGTGCCGAGTACCACCACGGGGTACATCGTATGGGATCCCAAAGCAGGGACTTGCAATTGCAGTAGGAACGACACTAGGAAAGAGACAGGACCAGTGAGTGCTGAACGTGGAAGTCCCAGGAAGGAGCGACCATCTCTGAGGGATGCTACCTTCAAATGATCAAGCACGTGTTTAAAGAAGGGAGACTCAGCGTTTAGGCACTTTACCCTGCTGTGTCTGACTAGTGATGGTGGGAGGACAGAGGGAAGAGCGAGGAGGCCAGGGTCACTGGGATGGTGCACTCTGAAAGGTCCCCCCCGCTTTTTTTTTTTTTTTTTTTGAGACAGAGTCTCACTCTGTTGCCAGGCTGGAGTGCAGTGGCGTGAACTCGGCTCACTGCAACTTCTGCCTCCAGGGTTCAAGAGATTCTCCTGCTTCAGCCTCCCGAGTAGCTGGGACTACAGGCATGCGCCACCAAGCCCAGCTAATTTTTGTATTTTTAGTAGAGATGGGGTTTCACCATGTTGGCCAGGATGGTCTCGATCTCATGATCTCATGATCCACCCACCTCAGCCTCTCAAAGTGCTGGGATTACAGGCGTGAGCCACCACGCCTGGCCCCTTTCTTTAAAAGGCAAGCCTGTTAATGGGTAGCCCCACCAATCATGTACACTTTAGAGTGGATTACTTCACTGAGAGATTTAGTTTATTTTTCATCTAAAAATTAGCTGAGAGTCGGAGAGAAAACCTGGAGGTATGTGCCAGGGAGTGGGGAAGGGAGAGTCACTTGGAAACATGGAGAAATCTTGAGAGAAAGCAGACCTGAAAAGACTGGGGGTGGGGTGGAGATAGTCAGAGGGCTCTGTTCATTCATGACTCAATAAGAAAATATTTATTAAGCATCTACTACATGCAAGACACCATCCTGAGCCCTGAGGATGGGAATAGGACAGAAACACCCTGCCCTCGAGTCCTGGCACTAGTATCTTCAGAATTAAATGAAAGAGGGATGCTTTATGGTCGGGAGTGGTGGCTCACGCCTATAATCCTAGCACTTTGGGAGGCGGAGGAGGGTGGATCATGAGGTGAGGAGTTCAACACCAGCCTGGCCAACACGGTGAAACCCCATCTCTACTAAAAATACAAAAAATTAGCTGGGTGTGGTGGCAGGCGCCTGTAGTCCCAGCTACTCGGGAGGCTGAGGCAGGAGAATCACTTGAACCCGGGAGGCGGAGCTTGCAGTGAGCTGAGATCGCACCACTGCACTCCAGCCTGGGCGACAAAGCAAGACTCTGTCTCAAAATCAATAAATCAATAAATCAATCAATAAATAAATGAATAAATAAATAAAGAAGGACCCTTTACTTGTTCTGAAATTTTGCAACAACCACAAATTTAAAAAAAATTCTCCCTTTGGCATAACCTAATGTTCCCTGACACTAGGAAGAGACAGGACATCCTACTCCATCCCTTTGAAAGCCAGGCAAAAAGAAAGCAGGGCTTCGTCACTCAGGGGCTGCCCTGAGAAACTGGGCAGGTGTGCTAAGGCCTGCTCCCAGTGGCTCCCAAGAGCTGAATGTTAAATTTTCAGGAATTCTGTTTGCTGGTTGTTAAACACGGCCATTATCAAAAAGGAAATGATATGAACTTATAATTGAATAAAAATTATATTAAAAACGAAGGTAATAGGCCAGGTATAGTGGCTCATGTCTGTGATCCCAGCATTTTGGGAGGTAGAGGCAGGAAGACTGCTTGAAGCCAGGAGGTTCAAGACCAGCCTGGGGAAAATAGCGAGACCCCATCTCTACAAATAAATAAAAAAATTACCCAGGCATGGTTGCATACACCTGTTGTCCCAGCTACTTGGGAGGCTGAGGTGGGAGAATCGTTTGAGCCCAGGAGGCTGAGGCTGCAGTGAGCTATGATCATGTCACTGCACTCCAGCCTGGGCAACACAGTGAGACCTTGTCTTTTTAAAAATAACAAAACATAAAAAACAAAGGCAATAAATACCTAGCACTTACCACCTCCTAACTACACTTTACTATTTTCCATGCTCTTGGTGGATATTGATGGTTATTTGTGCTACTGTGTCTATACAAAAATGCACCACCTCATGGTGAGCCACTGGGCAGATATCTCTTCCCAACTCCGTATTCCGTGACTTCATGTTGATAGCCTGAAGTTTACACCAGGGAAAATGGCAAACGGCAAACTGGAGAGACAGTTGTTAACTATTTTTTAGTACCCCAGTGTGTAAGACCAACTGAGGGTGGCTGCAGGGAGGGGTTACCTTGGCAGAGAACTTGAGGTGAACTTCTGCTTCGTCCGCCAGGCTCTTCTTCACCTGGGCCCACGCCTCTCCCAAGGAGCTGCAACACAAAGACCATGAGACTCAGGTCACAAGCCAAAGCCCTTCCTGAGGCAGGATGGTGGGGCTCCACCCCAGGTCTCGGGGAGGTATATGACAGCTGAGAATGTGGACGCGGATGAGGCAGAAGTCAGGCAGAAACCAGACATGAGCATCACGTTTCAACTCACAGAGTCAGATGAGCCACCAAGGTCCAAGTGAGCTCACCTTACCTCTGGAGCTAAGGAAACAGACTGTGGCGCACAGCCAAGAGGTGGGGGGGGTGGGGATTCCTAGAAATCCAGAGGCTCGAAAGGACCCAGGAAGGTGCCGGAAGCAGGTGTGGGGACATTCCAAAGCCTCAGCTGCAGTGAGGGCCTTGACCCCTGGGCCGTCACTGTCCCCAGAGCTTTCACATCACCCCTCCCTGGTTTGCTGATGAGGGGTGCAAGCATCTGCTAATAAATCAAGGAAGGAAAACAGGTTCTATTCCAGGGAGAAGCTCTTTTCATTTGTTTATTAGTTTGTTCCTTGAGACAGTCTTGCTCTGTCGCCTAGGCTGGAGTACAATGGCGCGATCTTGGCTCATGGCAACCTCTGCCTCCTGGGTTCAAGCGATTCTCCTGTCTCAGCCTCCCGAGTAGCTGGGATTACAGGCGTGTGCCACCACATCCGGCTAATTTTTATATTTTTAGTAGAGACGGGGTTTTGCCATGTTGGCCAGGCCGGTCTCGAACTCCTGACCAACTGAGAGCAGCTGCAGGGAGGGGTTACCTCGGCCTCCCAAAGTACTGGGATTACAGGCATAAGCCACCATGCCCAGCCGGAGAAGCTCTTTTCAAACAGCAGGTATCACACAGCGCTGCTTATAGGAAAAACCCAGCTCCTTGGCTTCCAGGAGTGGGGAAGATGGACTGTGTGGGTCTAGTGACCTAGATGCAGCCACAGGGCAGAGAAGGCTCCCACGGCCATCCTAGGAAGCACGGTCTCCTCTAGCACTGCTTCTCTAGCTGTGAGCCCTGATGCTGCCCACAGCTTACTAGAGAAGGGCCAAGTCCTCTTAGCAGCATCACTTCTCCACTCCAAGGAGAGGCTTCACGTAGAAGAAATCTCCTGAAGTCCCTAAGACTTGCCAATGCAGGCCCCAGGCTACATTCTCTATGATTTGGAGCTCTTTAACCGCATGACCCTTCCAAGTGATACCCCCGCTTTCTTGCTCCCAGCCTCTTCAACACAGCCAGTAAATCCAGGCTGAATGTTCTGTTGACTTAATATCATCCAAAAGCCACTTCCCCCAGAGAATTCATTAAAGTCGAGTGGCAAAAGCTGAATAAAAGACAGCATGTGGTGAGGCTTCTGGGTCTGGAGCAGAGCAGCCAGCAGCGAAGAATTGCCCAACAGTGCACAGCAGATCCCTCTGATGGCTGGCCAGCCCTGTGTGGTGGTGGCGCAGGCTCAGGCCGAGGTGGGTGTTTATGGGAAATGACTGCCTGATTTTATCTAGGAGTCTAGCAGCAAAGAAAGGTCCCCTCAGTGATCCTGGCAGGGGAAGCCACCAGAGAAGCACTGGAGTATGAAACGGGGCAATCCAAGCTGTTGACAATTGTCTCTGCCTGAAGGGCCTGAGATCCAGGAAGCTGTACTGGGGCACTCCACCCCCTCTGGGTGGCTTGGGTGCCCCACCTGATTCAACAGGTGGGTAGGAGGTCCAGGGGTGGCAGGAGTAGTCCTGGCAGTTACACAGATCAGCGGAACAGAACACAAAGTCACCCAGCTAGGGCCGATTGACTGCAGCAAAGAGGTTAGGGTGTTTCCATGGGGGAAACAGATGATCTTTTTAACAAATGGTGCAGAGACAACCGTACATCCACAGGAGGAAAAGGAATCTCGGCCCTACCTCACACCATACACACAAATTATCTCAAGATGCCTCCTAGCTCTAGGGTGAAAGCCAACACTATTTGAAGCATACCAAGGTTGTCCTGGGAGGAATGGGAACTGGATTAAAGGGAAGTGAGAGGGGTTTGCCCCTGCAGCTGAGCCACACACAGCAGCCTGTGGGAGGTATGAACAAGAGTCACAGAGCCAAAAAGGCCCCAGGCGGTGCCCAGACTTTGTATGAGCACATGCATCTTTCCACAGAGCTGTCAGTCTACTGTCAGCAGAGCACATGGCAGGTAAATGGCCCAGGGACAGTCGTGGTGGCCTGAGAATGTCATCTCTGGGCAACTGGGATGAAAGGAAGAACCATGGTTTTCCCCCACCCAACACAACGTCCTCAGCTCTACCTCCAGGCCAGACACTGCTAAGTGGGAAGACATGTCTCCAGACATTCAGAGGGGCCCCTCTGAGCCAGTGCATCCTTGGTGAATGCCTCCCTGCTCTCCAATATTCCAGGCTCTTTGGAGTCACATCACCATTTATTAAAAAGCTACTTACAAATTCTCTCATTTGAAAAGAGATTTTTCATCTGATAAACGGTTAATGAAAAACAAAACAAAACCTGAGGTGCATCTCTGTTCCAACATACAGTTTCAGGTACGCCAAATCAAAATGCATGTTGTTTTCATGACTGCCAACTAGGAAAACCAAAATCGCATTTCCTTTCCACATAGGAGAGAAAAACTAAAGGCAGAATAAACAACCGAATTCTGTTTATTTACCAATGTGCACATGTCCTGTGAAATCTAATTTGGACACAGAAGTTGAATTGCAAAAGCCTCTCCAGCCTCCCTGAGCAGCATCTTCCTCAACTGCTCCAAATTTCTAGACTCCTGCTTTGCTTTGAAAGTCTTCAAGGAGATAGGGTTAAATGTCCAAAGCTGTGTGTAAATGTAAATCAGTGTCTTTGCACGTTGTACGTAGGGGGCTCATGTGTTCATGTTCCAGTGCCTGCTGCAGGAGTGTGTGCATGGGGCTGCTGTGCGTGCATGCACACACAGAGTAATGTGTACACCTACGAGGCAGTGGCCCTGATGCATGTATGTGAGCTTGCGTTGTGTTTGTCTCTGTGTTTGTCCGGGCATGTGTGTACAGTATGGTAGTGTGGGCCTGACTTATGGAGCTGGACTGCTCGGGTGAGGAGCATATGCTGTGCATGTTGGCCAGGACACAGTGTCCTTGGCAGCAGCCCAGGCTGGAGAGATGGAAGCCGGAAGACTCCGGAGTGGCACAGTGGTTGCAGGGCACGGGGATACTTAGGAAAGCCCCTTGCCAGGCAGCAAGAGCTGCTCCTCTATGTGCCCCCTTCCTGCCCCTATCTCAGGCCCCGTGCATGGAGCAGAAGGAGGCCAGGAATGAACTAACCTCATTTACATCTGTGGAAGGGACGCTGGTCTTGCTGGGCCGCCCTGCGGTCTGTGGCTGGCAGGGAGGGTGAGAACCATTCAAAGGAGGCCGCCTGGCTGCACAGCCAACCCATGTGGAGGGCTTAATCAAAGCCACATTTGGGTTGGCAAAATCTCAGTCTCCTGAAGGATTTCAAGCCACGAAGGCAGATTTGGACTGGTTTAACATCATGGCTCGCTGACGACCACAACCATCCCACAACAGAACGTCTTCCTTCCTCGGGGGTTCACTCCCCCTTGGAGAAGGAATTCAAACAGACCAGCACCAGAGGGAGGTCAGAACGGAGAGGACCTCTGGGGACCTTTTCAACTCTAACCTCCTGAGAGTCTTTCTGTTTTTTTTTACAGAGGTGAAATTCATATAACATAAAATTAACCGTTGAAAAGTGATCGATCCAGGCGCATTTAGGACGAGACCAAATCAAACGCCTGTTTTGTGAGTGCAACTACCACCTCTATCTAGTTCCAAAACATTTTCGTCATGCTAGTATGGACTAAAGGTTTATGTCCTGCCAAAATTCTTAGGTTAAAACCCTAACCCACAATGTGGCTGCATTTGGCAATGGGGCCTTTAAGGAAGTAATTAAGGTTAAATGAGGTCATAAGGGTGCAGCCCTGATCTGATAGGATTAGTGTCCTTATAAAAATAGACATTGGCCAGGCGCGATGGATCACGCCTACAATTCCAGCACTTTGGGAGGCCAAGGAGGGTGGACTGCTTGAGTTCAGGGGTTCTAGACCAGCCTGACCAACATGGTGAAACCCCGTCTCTACTAAAAATACAAAAAATTAGCCAGGTATGGTGGCACATGCCTGTAGTCCCAGCTACTTGGGAGGTGGAGGTTGCAGTGAGCTGAGATCAGGCCACTCCAGTCTGGGCGACAGAGCGAGACTCTGTCTCAAAAAAAAAAAAAAAAAAAAAAATAGACATCACAGAGCTCCCTCTCTCTCTCTCTCTGAGCACACACCAAGGAAAGGCTGCATGAACACACAATCAGAAGGCGGCCATCTGCAACCCAATGGGAGAGTCCTTACCAGGCACCAACCCTGCTGGCACCTTGATCTTGGACTTCCCAGCCTCCAGAGCCACGAGAAAATAAATGTCTGTAGTTTCAGCCACCCAGTCTGGGACATCTTGTGGCAGCCCAAGCAGATGAATACACACCCCAAAAGGAAACCCGGTAACTTTTAAGCAGTCACAACCCATTCCCCTCCTCCCCCAGCCCCTGGCAAATGACAATCCACTTTCTGTTTCCATGGGTTTGCCTGTTCTGGGCATTTTACATAAATGGAATCATACACTATGAGACCTTTTGTGCCTGGCTTCTGTAACTTAGCAGAATGTTTTCGAGGCTCATCCACACAGTAGCATGTATTAGTGTTCCATTCCTTTTCATGGCTGAGTAATATTCCATTGTCTATCCATGGGTATCCATTGTGCATACACCACCATTTGTTTATCCAGTCATCCCTGGGTGGAATGTGGGTTGTTTCCACCTTTTGGCTATTATGAATATTGCTGCTGTGTACATGTGTATACATGTATTAGTTTGAGTGCCTGTACTCAGTTTTTTTGGGTATAAGCCTAGGAATGGAATTGCTGGGTCACATGGTAATTCTATGTTTAGCTTTTTGAGGAACAACCAGATTGTTTTCCACAGCGGCTGTACCATATTCCATTTCCCCCAGGGGTGCATAAGGGCTGAGACTTTTTTACCCACTAGGAGTCCTTCTGTGGCTGGGAGGGTTGGGTTAAGCTTCTCCCAGCCCAGGTCCCACTCAAGGAGGTCTGGACAGTCACAGCATTAGCGGGAAGGGAGCCTATGCCTCAAGCCCACAGGAGAGAGCTCCAGACAAAGCGGCCAGGTACAATACCCTCTCATACGCAGCTTCCTCCCAGCCTGCCCCTAGACAAAGGGAGGCTGGAGTGGGCATCTAGAGGCTGCTGCCCAGCTACCAGGGGTCAGACCAGAGGGGATTCTGACATACTTCAACATCTGGAACGTGGCTCTTGGTCACTAAAGAGAAGACAATGTGGAAGTGCCTTTTTTTTTTTTTGAGACGGAGTCTCGCTCTGTCGCCCAGGCTGGAGTGCAGTGGCCCGATCGCAGCTCACTGCAAGCTCCACCTCCTGGGTTCACGCCATTCTCCTGCCTCAGCCTCCCAAGTAGCTGGGACTACAGGCACTCATCACCATGCCCGGCTAATTCTTGTATTTTTAGTAGAGATGGGGTTTCACTATGTGGGCCAGGCTGGTCTCGAACTCCTGACCTTGTGATCCACCCGCCTCGGCCTCCCAAAGTGCTGGGATAATGGGTGTGAGCCACCCGCCCGGCTGGAAGTGCCCTTTTGAGTGTGGATGCCCACACCTTGAGTCATGGGTGCCCACCCAAGTCATGAGCACCTACCTGAGCCATGAGTGCCCACCTTGAGCCAGGCCTATGGAGAGCTCCCCATCCAAAGTGGGGCCATGCCAGTGATCAGTGATAGTGGCTGATTTCCCTTCCTCAGTGACCCCCCATCCTCCCCACTCCCACCTCTCTCCTACCCACTCACCCTTCCTCCTGTGAAGCCAAGGAGTTCTGAGAGAGCTTAGCTAAGTTCTTCGCATAGTCTTCTTCAATCTTTATCCTGCAAAGAGAGAAAACCCAACACACATCAGCTCTCCAGTGCCAGATCGTGGGTCTGCCCTGCTGCCCTGCACACCTCAGCCGTGGAAAGGAACCCACTAGACCATAAGCTCTGAGACCACATGGCTCTTGTCTGTCTACCTGACATGCAGTAGGTGCTTAATAAATACTTGTTGGATAAATGAATGAACAAAACTGTCTGGACCTCCATCTCCTCATCTGCAAAGTAGGACATTTTCTCCGGTCTCCTAGAGCTGTGAAGACGAGAGCTGTCGTTTACACAGTTCCTAGCACAGAACGGGAAACATAAGACCCCTGAACCAATAAATGAATGAAGGAAGAAATGAACGTTTGCAACTCGTGATGGACTACCAGCAATCCCCAGTGCTGTCCCCTCTCCCTTCCAGCCCCAGAACTCCCAGGTGGCCTCGGACCCTCAGCAGCAGAACAGAACATCTCCCTACTGTCTCACACCCCCAATGCCTCTGATTGTCAAGCCTGCTGGGTACAAGTACTTCCACGGAAACCTAGCAGTGCCCAGGGCTGCAGGTAGATTCTATTTCCCTGGAGAGGAAAGTTGCCTTGGATGTAGCTTCCGGCAGGCAGGCCTTTGACACATTTGCAAGGCAACTCCCCAGGGAGTGTCCTGTATTATCTGGCACGTCCATGTTAAGCATGTTGTCAGAGGTATTGTTCACCACCTAAGTGGTCCTCTGGGCCACAGTGGGAGACAGAAGAGCTATGCTTATGCCAACCAGAGCTGGCCAGAGCCCAGGCTTCGGAGAGCCCCTGGTCCACCACACGGTGAACAGAGAAGCTCCAGAGATGCTGGGACCACAGCGTTTGCTTCCCAGCTGCTCAAGCAGCTGGCACCCAAAGGGTGCGATGATGGAGAGAGGGCGGCTGACAAAGTCTGGCGGCAGCATTCCGAGTAATAATAATTGCATGACTTGGCATCAGGAGACTCACAATCTCGTTCCTTCTTGCACTGCTTTCCCCTCACCTCCACCTTCAACTGGTCTCTAGGTCCTCCTGAGTCTCATTCCAACTGATCTGCCTCTGTCACTTCCTCTCCATCCCCCTACCTTCACCTCCAGACTGTGGTCAAGAGAGATATCTAGAAAGTAGATCTATCCATGCCACGCTCCCGGCTCCTCAATGCCGACAGCATGCACCAGACACACGAGGTGCATACGCTGTCTGCCTCCTGTGTCTCACCTCCAGGACGACAGCGTGCGTCACCTCTACCTCTGCCCCACTTCTCTAAACCAAGATCCCAGCAAACCAGCCAGCACCTGTCCTCAAGCCAGGCGAGCTCCCAATTCTGAGCCTCAGCTCTCACCTCTCCTGGCACTAAAGGGCCTTCCCTATGAGATCCCAAGGTGGATGGTGTATGCGTTTTCTCTAGGAAGCCCGGAATGTCCTGAAATGGCAGTTTCCAATTATTTGCTAACAAGACGTTGTCATGGAAATATAAACCATAAGCGTGTTCAAGCTTTGGCTTTTACAGCAATTTTCCTATTTGCCTATTTTATACCATTGTTTTCTCAAACCCGAGCTGTGCAACCTCTCCGTTTCCCACCAGTTTAATGGGTCATAAAATAAGGATTTGATTACACAAATTGAAAATAGGCCCTCTGTCTATGCCCATACCACCCTGAACACATCCGATCTCATATGAAAATAGGCCCTCTAAGGGAAAGGGGTGCTTCAAAACGCCGAAGCATTATTACTTGATTATTGCTGTTATAATTAAAAAGGAAATATTTTTGGTCTGGCACAGTGGCTCATGCCTCTAATCCCAGCACTCTGAGAGGCTGAGGCGGGCAGATTACCTGAGGTCAGGAGTTCGAGACCAGCCTGGCCAACATGGTGAAACCCCACCTCTACTAAAAATACAAAACATTAGCTGGGCGTGGTGGTACATGCCTGTAATCCCAGCTACTCCAGAGGCTGAGACAGGAGAATCGCTTGAACCCCGGAGATGGAGGTTGCAGTGAGCCAAGACTGCGCAACTACACTCCAGCCTGGATGACAGAGCGAGACTCTGTCTAAAAGAAAAAAAAAAAAGAAATATTTTAAAAAGATATTGCAATTTGCTATATTTCCAACTCCAGGTGGAAAGTTGTGTGTTTGTGTGTGTGTGCACATGGGTGATAGGTGGGTATGTGCAGCTGTGGGTATGTGAGTGTGTGCTGAACAGAGCCTCAGAACTTGGAGACAGAGAGAGAGGAGGAAGGAGATAGAGAAGGAACTTCTCTTTCTCTTTGTCGATTTCTCCATTTCCATTGGGCTGAATTTATTGTTTCTTCATCTGTGTTCCCAAGCTCTTTAGACAAAACACTGTTATAATCCTTGAGGCAGGGATGGGGTAGGAGGAGGGTTCAACATCTCCTGCCCTGGGACACAGGTTTTGGCTAACGATGAATTGAACTGTAACATCCCCCCCACTGGTTACGGTAAAGGGCTGTGCTTCAAATGATGGCCAGGTACATAAGTAAAGGAGTGAAGGAGTCTGCGGGGGAAGACAGTACGGAATGGTGGAGACTGGCAAAATGGGAACACACACCCCCTCTACAAGAGTAGCTGCTACTCAGCTCCAGCCAAGTGTCGCGTGAGGGATGTGGAGGCAATCCTGCCAATGCTTCTGCTCTTTCAAGGTGTGCTAAATATCCAGATTTTAATATGAAATCTACCCATTTTTTTAAGTGTTGCTTTCAATATTTAAAAACACTATATCGGCCAAAGGTACACAACTGCTGACCAGATCCATCCCAGGCGCCATGAGTTTGCCGCCTGGCGCTAACCAGCCCAATGCTGAGTGTGCAGTACTGAGTCCTGTGCTGTCGCCCCGCCCCGGCCACGGGGCCCCGGGGAACACTGGTGCCAGGCCCCAGGGCTGGGAGGGGCCCAGGCTTCACCTTTCCCGGATGAATTCTGACATTTCCTTCTGCATTTGTTTGCCCTTCAGCTGTTTCTGGAGCAGTAGTTCAAACCCAGCCACGGTGCCGTTGCCTTGGGGGTCCTTCTTATCAGCCTACAAAGGAAGCAGAAGCACAAGAGTTTAGGGCACGTCTGAGTCTGGAGCCAGGGAGAATGGCGTAGAGGGAGGACGGCTCCTAGATGTGCCTGGCAATCCCAGTCCAGCACAAGACGCGGGAGCAGCTGTCTCTGCTGCCCTAACTCGGATCTCTCTCCTGGTGCCCCCACTCCCAACAGCGCTTTCTGATGCTCAGGCTCTTACAGTTGCTGCATCCCCACATCCAAGCCCCTTAACTCTCCCAACCTGGGAACTGAGAGGAAGAAGGGCAAGTGTCCAAGAGCACCGGCTGTGATGCCTAACGGCCTACGACTTCCAACCAGGTGGCTGCAGATCTGGCTTGGCCCTCGGCGAATCTTGGCATCCTGACTCCAAGCTGGACTATGTGTGAGCTCAGGAGCAGGTACCCCCAGCCTTAAGCCATCCTGTCTTCTACCAACTTCTTACACTGGTAGGGCAGTGACACCCTCTAACCACACATTCATACAAGATCACAGGAGAGAAAAGTAAATCATAGAGAGAAAGTGGGTTGAAGGGAGGCCGGAGGAGAGAACAGGACAGGCTGCCCTGAAATACTAGCTGGGTGACCTTGGCCAAGTTCTTCACTCACTCCAGGCCTAAGCTTTTTCATCTGCAAAACTGACGAAATAACAGCCCCACCTTCATGTGGTCATTTCAGGGTAAATGACCTATGTATATATCTGAGCACATTGCTGAGCACATACTATGTACCCAATAAATGGCATCTGTTATTAGTTACTTTTAAATAAAAGTCCAAACTTGGGGAGGATGGGCAAGTCAATGAAATAAGTACTTAGCAGCCAATTAATTTTGCAAACAAATATTCTTAAAATTTCAAAATTAAATGATTTATTTTATTTTACCTGCATTTCTTCAAGCATACCAAATGCCCCTTCCCTGCCATTCCCCTGCCTGAGATTCACCCACACATCTGCCCGCACGGCCGTGGCTGCTGGAGCACCAGCTCCCAGGGCCATCCCAGGCATGTCTAAAAGTGTCCTCCTCCTTACAGCTTTTCCCTATCAGGAACCCAGGGTCAAACACTTTGATACTTAATGGAAGGTGTTCAGAACAGGTTTTTGATATCCCAGAGAGAGAGGTGCATTGGTGAGAACAGTGTCCCAGCATCTGGTAGGACCCAGGTTCTTGTCTCTGCTCAGCTGCAGGGTGTCCAATCCTAGGTAGTATCTCCCCGGACCACCCCCTTGAAATAGGGGTGGGTTGCATCTCTCAGATCCCATCCAGATCAGACATTTTAGGAGAGGGGAAAGAAAAGGGGTTGCTGATGCCTGCAGGGAACCCCATTTACCATCATCAAGTAGATGAAGGATTTTATGGACACCTTCCCAGTTCCCCCGGTGTGGGACCCCTCCCTCGGGTGCCATAACTCAAAGGCCTCCGGCCACGCTGCTAACATCCCTGATGACAGGGAGATCACCATCCTACGGGGTCACAGTCGGGCTGTTCTTGCAGTTTAAAAGCAATGTCCACTGAAGATCTCTGTGCTTCACTCTACGAATGCTACATCTTGATGAAAAAGCAGAAGGAAAATTATCCAAATACTGAGCTCAAATCTGCCTCCCTTCTAGGATGGATATGCTGAGCTATGCACTCTGGGGAAAACCAGCCAGAAGAAACAGGCTTTAATGACTGTGTCAGGAGAGAGAAATTTCTATTAATGGAAAAGGCCTTGATGGTCAGGGGGATAAGTGGATTGCAGATTAAGTATCAGAGTCCCCAGAGAGCTCGAATTAAGATAAGAACTCACAAGTGTCGCCCTCCGGATGCTGCTGGATGCAGGCGGCATCAGACATTCCTACCAGCTTTCCAAGGCTTGAGACCCCACACGCTGACCTCCAGCAACTAGGATACCCATTTCCAGGGCTCAAACCACTCTCTCCTTGAACCCTCCATTTACTGCACCCCTCTTGAGAGATGATGTTTCCAAACCCAGGTACATCTCTCCCTCTCTGCCGCCACCACCATCTTTCCTGGTCTCTTCCACTCACCCGTCAACTTCCCACCCCCACCTGCACAATGCCTATGAATCAGATCACATCATATTGCTGCTTAAGACCTTCTAACACCCTCCTTCCACAAGCAGAATAAAACTCACTTACTGGGGCCTAGAAAGTCTTACGCACTCTGATGCTTGCTTACCCCGATGCTTGCTTACCCCGCCCTCTGAGCTCACCTGCCCAGGTCTGTCTGATGCCAAAGATAAGCCCCTTTATACTGTTTCCTCAACCAATGCACAGATCTCTACCCTGGACACAGCACAGCTGGAGCTACAGAAATTGTGCCTTGGTGAGAGGTGTAGGCAACAGGGATCTTTGTATATCTTCTAAGGTACAAGCGATTTTGTAGAAAGAGAAAAGCACTTTTATCTAGTATTCGGTTAGCAAATCTAAAAAAGTGTAGATAATCCGGCTGGGCACGATGGCTCATGCCTGTAATCCCAGCACTTTGGGAGGCCAAGGTGGGTGGATCACCTGAGGTCAGGAGATTGAGACCAGCCTGGCCAACATGATGAAATCCTGTCTCTATTAAAAAAATAAAATAAAATACAAAAAATTAGTTGGGTGTGGTGGCACACATCTGTAGTCCCAGCTGCTCAGGAGGCTGAGACAGGAGAGTCGCTTGAACCTGGGAGGTGGAGGCTGGAGTGAGCCAAGATCACACCACTGCACTCCAGCCTGGGTGAGACAGAGTGAGACTCTGTCTCAAAAAATCCATTCTTGCAAAGTGGTGAAAACAAAGTTTTTACTTATTTATTGTTCCTTGGAGTCTTTGGACACTTGTTTTTTTGAAATGTACAATTTAGTGGTTTTCAATACATTCACAGGGTTTGTGACCATCCCCACTATCTGATTCCAGAAAGGGGTGATCTAATTCTGAAAGTCACTATGACTTTAACATGCAAATGGCCCAGGACCATTCCCAGGATATTCTGAGGTACAGGACTCTGCATTTCTACAAATTTATTTATTTGAATGGTGAAAAAAATACATCTAGCACACAACGGACCATTTTAGCCATTTTTAAGAATGCAGTTCAGTGGCATGAAGTACATTCACATGGTTGTGCGACCATCACCACCATCCACCTGCAAAATTGTCTTTAATCTTGCAAAACTAAAACTCTGTGTTCGCTAAGTGATCTGCAAACGTTTTAAAACTACAGGATTACCCAAGCTGGAGCTCTCTGAAGATCCTGTGCCCAACTGCCTCACAATTCTGATGAGAACACTGAGGCCCAAGGAGGTGAAGCACTTGTCCAACGTCACTCACGTAAGTGACAAGCAGGTATGGAGCCCACGTTCATTTATTGAGGCAGATTCTAGTCTCCTGCCTTCACTGAGCATCGGAGAAAATGGCCCCCCGCTTACCTACATTCTGGTTGAAGTGTCTGTAATGTGAACAAAAGTCCTGCTGAACCCCTGAGATTCATGGAATGAGCTGGACCCCAAGAGGGTCCTAAGTTCCTGTCACAGATGCAAACTCTAACACCAGCCCTTCACGCTCCAACGAGAAAGGCCCCTCCACTTTGAGATCCAGGTCCCTCCTACCCATCCTGGGTGTCCACTCCCGGTCACCGGGGTCACGCTGTGGGGGAAACTGAGGCGCTGCTTACCCAGAAGTAGTCGCAGTAGCTCCACTCGGTTGGTTTCAGCAGCTGCTGTTCCGGCATCGTGTCTGGGTGAGGGAACGTCACACAGTTTATCTGTAGGGCACAGAACAAGAAAGAATGACCCCGCTGGAGACTGGAATAGCGAGGAAGGCTTCGGCTCCTGGGGGACACGGCACTGGAGCAGCCTCCCTATTGACAGAACACGCACAGGGATCTTCCCGTGCTCCAGGGGCCAGCATTTCACATGAGCGGCAACAGGTGCTCACCCCCACCCCAAATGGGCTGTGAACCAGTACCACCTCTCTAGATGGCAGTTTACTAGGATCAAAATTGCAAACTTCAGGTGCCTTTGACCCAGCAATTGCACAAGAGTCTATCATACAGATACAGTTGCATGGGGGCAGTGACATCCACACACGCTTTTTCACGACAGCGCTATTTATGGCCGTTAAAGGCTGGAAAACAACTCCAATGTCCATCAGTGGGGGAATGGTTAAACAAAGTATGAGATAGACATCTATGGAAATCAGAAAGGACATGGTGATGAAGTTCTTAAATTTAATTAGGAAAGCGGCCGGGCGCGGTGGCTCACGCCTGTAATCCCAGCACTTTGGGAGGCCGAGGCAGGCGGACCACCTGAGGTTGAGAGTTCGAGACCAGCCTGACCAACAGGGAGAAACCCCGTCTCTACTAAAAATACAAAATTAGCTGGGCGTAGTGGCGCATGCGTGTAATCCCAGCTAGTCGGGAGGCTGAGGGAGGAGAACCACTTGGACCCGGGAGGCAGAGGTTGCAGTGAGCCGAGATGGCACCATTGCTCTCCAGCCTTGCAGTGAGCTGAGATCATGCCATTGTACGAACGAAACTATGTCTCAAAAAAAAAAAAAAGAAAATTTAACAAGGAAAATGTGCCAGGATATATGGTTAGGTGAAGGTTAAAAACAAAAAAAAAAAAAAAGCAAGCAGAGTATTATAGTTCCTTTTCAAAAAGGAAGACAAGACCAGCCCCTCCTCTTCCTCCTCCTGCTTCGCCCATTCAATGTGAAGATGTTGAGGATGAAGACCTTGAGGATGACCCACTTCCACTTAAAGAATAGTAATTATATTTTTCTTGTTTATAATTGTCTTAACATTTTATTTTCTCTAGCTTACTTTACTGTAAGAATACAGTGTATAATACACATAAACATGCAAAATATGTGTTCATGTCAGTAAGGCTTCTACTCAACAAGAGGCTATTAGTAGTTAAGTTCTGGGGAGTTCAAAGTTATATGTCAATTTTGGACTATGGGTGAGGAGGGGGCACCCCTAGCTCCCATGTTGTTCAAGGGTCACCTGTATAATACACATCTGGTTATTTGCATATAGAATATTCCTGGAAACTGATAACATTGTTTGCTTCCAAGGAAAGGAACTGTGTGGGTGAGGGTCAGGGGTGAGAGATTACCTTGCAAATTTTATGTCACGATGTGTATCATACGAACAAATACACCTTAAAATTATAATCTGGGGGGCCGGGCACGGCAGTTCACGCCTGTAATCCCAGCACTTTGGGAGGCCGAGGCAGGTGGATCATGAGGTCAGGAGTTCGAGACCAGCCTGACCAATATGGTGAAACCCCTTCTCTACTAAAAACACAAAAATTAGCCAGGCGTGGTGGCATGTGCCTGTAATCCCAGCTACTCAGGAGGCTGAGGCAGGAGAATCGCTTCAACCCAAGAAGCAGAGGTTGCAGTGAGCCGAGATTGTGCCATTGCACTCCAGCCTGGGTGACAGAGTGAGACTCCCCCTCAAAAAAAAAAAAAAATCTGGGTTGCACGTGTAAGGCTGGCCCTAGCTAAGGAGCGTGAAGTACAGAAATTTTCAGGTCATCTCAGCCTTTTCTGCCCGAGCACATCTGCAATACTGCCTGGCTTTTCCCCATTGTGTGGAGGTGGCTTCAGGCCCCAGATTCCCACCTCTCCTAGGACGCGGGCTAATTTGCTTCCTCTGTGGGAGCAAGGCCTGAGCCTTATAAGTCTTTAACCCCTTCTTGCAGCCCAAGCACCTGCTGAAGTGGAAAATGTCACACATTAAAAAATGATGCAGCCCTGAGGTTTTGGGCCCAGGACACAAACTCCAATGCTAGGCGGGGTGTGCAAGCCAGTGAGGTACCCAGGCGTCACAGAAACTGCAGCTGGGACAGGAGGGCGGACAGCGTCACAGAAACTGCAGCTGGGATAGGAGGGCGGACAGCATCTGCTTTGGGCAGGGGTCAGAGGCTGCAGAGATGCGTCCAAGGGGCAGATCCTGCTCAGCTCTTTGGGCAGGGGCCAGAGGCTGCAGAGATGCGTCCAAGGGGCAGATCCTGCTCAGCTCTTGCCAAGTGTCGTCAAGCCCTTCTGAGGAGTCCAGTGCTGACGGATTATGTGATGACTCGAGGGAAGCTGAAAATGGGGACTTTTATGCAAAGTGTCTCCATTTTTAAGTGTTGGCAATTAATTCAAGGTTAAAAACAATAATAATAAACACAATAACACCATGTAGGCCCAACAAACTCTTCTGTCAGCAAAGTCAGGCCCATGGACCTCCCGTTGTGACCTCTGGTTCAGGAAGCTCCTGGGTGGCTAGAAGTAAATCTAGCGCACACCCCCTCCCCAGCTGCCAGGGCACAGACCTCAGTCGCAGTCTGGGGAGAAGTCCCCAACAAAAGAAGGAGCCTCCTCCTCCCAGATCCTTACATGTGGTTAAGGTGAGGGCTGAGGTCCCCACCACCCTAGAGGGAAACACAACTCAGCAGAAGGATCAGAGGCAGGAATGACGTGGACGACCCTGGAGATGACAGGGCTGCACCAAATTCTGCCAAGGATAATCCCTTCTTCTCTTTCTCCTTCCCTTCCTCCCCTCCTCCCTTCCTCTCCTCCTCTCCTCCCCTCCCTCCTTCCCTCCCTCTTTCCCTCTTCCCCTCCCTCCTTCCCTCCTGCCCTCCCTCCCTCCCTCCCTTTCTTTTTTAGACAGAATCTTGCTCTGTCACCAGGCTGGAGTGCAGTGGCACGATCTCGGCTCACTGCAACCTCTGCTTCACTGGCTCAAGTGATTCTCCTGCCTCAGCCTCTCCCGGGTAGCTGGGATTACAGGTGCATGTCACCACACCTGGCTAGTTTTTGTATTTTTAGCAGAGACAGGATTTCACCACGTTGGCCAGGCTGGTCTCAAACTCCTGACCCCAAGTGATCCACCCTCCTCGGCCTCCCAAAGTGCTGGGATTACAGGCATGAGCCACTGTGCTGGGCCTCTTTCTCCTTTTCAAAATGTGTAACTTCTAAGAATACAACATTATCTATGTAAGATTCCTGGCCAGGGCATGGTGGCTCACATCTGTAATCCCAAGACTTTGGGAAGCCAAGGCGGGCAGATCACTTGAGCTCAGGAGTTCAAGACCAGCCTGGGCAACATAGCACAACCTTGTCTCTACAAAAAATAAAAAACAAAACTAGCCAGGTATGGTGGCACACACTTGTAGTCCCAGCTACTTGGGAGGCTGAAGCAGGAGGATCTCTTGAGCCTGGGAGGTTGAGGCTGCAGTGAGCTATGATTATATCACTGCACTTTAGCCTAAGTTAAAAAAAAATCCTGTCAAAAATATTTAATCTGAATCTAATGATAAGTGGGGAAAATCAAGATAGTTTTTTAAAAGGCACCTTGTGGCAGCGTGTGGTGGCTCACGCCTGTAATCCTAGCAATCTGGGAGGCCCAGGTGTGCGGATCACAAGGTCAGAAGTTGGAGACCAGCCTGGCCAACATAGTGAAACCCTGTCTCTACTGAAAATACAAAAATTAGCCGGGCATGGTGGTGGGCGCCTGTAATCCCAGCTACTCGAGAGGCTGAGGCAGGAGAATTGTTTGAACCCGGGAGGTGGAGGTTGCAGTGAGCCGAGATCGCGCCATTGCACTCCAGCCTGGGTGACAGGGCGAGACTGTGTCTCAAAAAAAAAAAAGGTGCACAGCTTCCTGAACTCTAAAAAATTAGCACTGTGATGGATTAAAAAAACAAAGGCTAGATGAAGATCAGCTGAGGCTGGGGAGTTTTCTCCCAGGCCTCAGCAGCCTCAGTGAGAGAAGGGAGGGCCAGTTCTTGAGGCCAGCAGCAGAAAGCCCCAAGCCTTGGTTTCGGGCCGAGTCCCCAAGGTGTGTCCAGAGACAAGTCTCCTTCCTTCCTGTGCCTCCACAACCCACTGCCAAGCAGGCAATCATGAAAACAAGGGACGGGTTTCAAAAGTGCACAGATTCCTTATTTTGTATTCCAATTATTCTTATTTCAACAAATCACAGTCATCACAGTCCATCTTTATGTTACTGAATAATGCAGTCCATGAAAATTTCAATCAAATTTAATGATAAATTAACTATGACATTAAAGTAAATTGAGCATTAAGAATGATGGAACGAGTAGAGTTGTGGGTACTCAGAGGCGGGTCTGAATGCTTCTGGAGTGGCCTGCCCTGCGGGCATCTCTCCCCTTTCCATCGTCTTTCCTCACTCAAACTGCTCTTGGCCTTGCCCTCTTGTCGGGGAAACACTTCCCTACAAAGAAAGGACTTTCCTGGCCAGGTGCGGTGGCTCATGCCTGTAATCCCAGCACTTTGGGAGGCCGAGATGGGTGGATCACCTGAGGTCGGGAGTTGGAGACCAGCCTGACCCACATGGAGAAACCCCATCTCTACTAAAAATACAAAATTAGCCAGGCTTGGTGGCGCATGCCTATAATCCCAGCTACTTGGGAAGGCTGAGGCAGGAGAATCGCTTGAACCTGGGAGGTGGCGGTTGCGGTGAGCCAAGATTGCGCCATTGCATCATTCCAGCCTGGGCAACAAGAGCAAAACTCTGTCTCAAAAAAAAAAAAAAAAAAAAAAAAAACAAGAAGAAAGGACTTTCCCATGTCAGGAAGAGGCTTGGCCAAAACGTGGGGCAGGCAGGAGGAGAAATGGGTCTTGGCCAGTCTTGTTCCCCCCAGAATCTTCCTGAGTTGACTTACCCTCAGAGTGAGGATGCCACCGTGCACCCCAGCAGGCCTGTGCAGACAGACTGCTAGCCGGAAGAGGAGACGGTACCAAGGACAGCCCCTTCAATGATGCATCCTGGCTGGCTCCAAGCCAACCACCTAAAAGGCCATGGAAGTCCTGAGGAGGACTGAGACCCACCTAAGTACCACTCAGTCCCCTTCTTGTCCCAGAGTCGAGGATGAACATGCCTCAGAGTCACCTAGAGGACATGGGTTGCTGGGTCCCACCCCCCACTGTCTGATTCAGGAGCTCTGGATGGGGTCTGAGCTCTCAAGTGATGCTGAAGGTCCAGGGACCACACTTTGAGAACCAGCATTCGTGATCCATTTAGCAGGGACAGGGACAGCCCCTGGGGGAGACCTTGTGCCCACCACAATGGAAGACACACAGATAAACAAGCCACAGAGCCCTGCTCTTAAGATCCTACATGGCAAGTGGGCAAAGGACATGAACAGACACTTTTTCTTTTTTTTTTTGAGATAAAGTTTTGCTCTTGTCACCAAGGTTGGAGTGCAATGGCATGATCTCAGCTCACTGCAACCTCCACCTCCCGGGTTCAAGCGATTCTCCTGCTTCAGCCTCGCGAGTAGCTGGGATTACAGGTGCCTGCCACCATGCCCGGCTAATTTTTGTATTTTTAGTAGAGACAGGGTTTCACCATGTTGGTCAGGCTGGTCTCGAACTCCTGACCTTCAGGTGATCCACCCACCTTGGCCTCCCAAAGTGTTGGGATTACAGGCGTGAGTCACCGCGCCCGGCCCAGACACTTTTCAAAAGAAGACATATGTGCAGCCAACAAGCATATGCAAAAATGCTCATCACCGCTAATCATTAAAGAAAGGCAAATCAAAACCACAATGAGATATCATGGCATGCCAATCAGAATGGCTATAATTAAAAAGGTCAAAAAATAACAGGTGCTGGCAAGGTTGCAGAGAAAAGGGAACACTTATACACAGTTGGAGGGAGCATAAATTAGTTCAACCATGTGGAAAGCAATGTGGTGATTCCTCAAAGAACTAAAAACAGAACTATCATTCGACCCAGCAATCCCATTACTGGGTATATACCCAAAGGAATATAAATCTTTCCACATAAAGACACATGGACGCATATGTTCATTGCAGCACTATTCACAATAGCAAAAACATGGAATCAACTTAAATGCCCATCAACGATATACTAGATAAAGGAAACGTGGTACATATACAACATGAAATACTATGCAGCTGTAACAAAGAATAAGATCATGTCCTTTGCAGGGACATGGATGGAGCTGGAAGCCATTATCCTTAGCAAACGAATGCAGGAACAGAAAACAGGTTGGGGCAGAAGAGTAAAGGCAGTAGAATGTGAGGACTCATTAAGGACTCATCACCCTGCTGCTTCTGCCACTCCTTGAGGATACCAGTCCTCAGATGGAGCCCCGAGGTGCCTGCCACTGTCTCTGTCCTCTCTCATTTTGGGATTTCTCCCTCCCAGGAAGCCCACTGGGATTTCTCCAAATCCTCACTCCTGCAGGGGAGCCCTGACTCAGGCACCCTCTTTAGGGCTTTGCATGTATTCTCATTTCATCTTCCCAGCAACTCCACAGGGGAGGAAGAACAGCCTCATCGTATATGAGGAAACTGAGGATCACAGAAGCGAGGTATCCGAATCCAGATCCAGCTGACTGCAGAGCTCCAGCCTCGACCACGAAGCTATGTGATGGGCTATTTGCTCGTTCACTTTCCATTCGAACATCTGTTGAAAGGCTGCTCAGTGCCACGTGCTACGCTAGCTCTTCCCAGCAAGCTGCATGCATACATTTGTAATGATATTTCTCGTGATGGTTTATTTAATGTTTCTCCTCCTTGCCAGACAGCCTGTTCTACAAGGGGATGGGGACCATCTTTTCCCTGCCATTTCCCTCCTGACTGGTGCAGTGTTGGGTACATAGTGGGTGCTCAGGAGATGTTTCTTGGTGCAGTGGCCGGAGGCTAGGAATGTAAGGCATCATCTCTGCTCTCAACAGTTCCGTAAATAAGTCACTGTAATTCTTTGGGATAAACCTGCCAGTGGAGTAAGCCTGAGGTGCTGAGGTTACTGGAAGGACTGAGGGTCCAGGGGAGGAATCTTAGATTTAGGTAATAATAGTAGGGCCCAGGCAGACAGAGGGGTGGGAAGGTGAGAAGGGTACTGCAGGAAGGGAAAGGACTCAGGATGAGAGGATATGCCCTACAGGTGGGGACCGCGTTGCTCGGTTTGGCTGAGCTGTGTCCCACTGCGTACCCCTCAGAGAGCTTCTGGGAGGCAGCCCTTGTGCTTCTGGCTGCTCCTGAGTCAGGGAGTAGACAAGACTGAGCTGAGAGGGGGTCTTGCAGGGGTGCCAAGGTCTGTCCTGAAGGCAGCAGGACAGCGGGGGCCACAGAAGCACCCTGCAGGAGAGTAACAATTAATCAGGCTGTTGTCTGGGGTGAGCACCCCCACTACAGCATAGAGGATGCACTGGAGGGAGAACGTGACTGTGGCCATCAGGGCAGTCTGCAGTGATGGGGGATGGGGGGTGGGGGGTGGGGGGTCATGATAGCAGCTGGGAGCAGCATAGTCAAGAGGGGATTAGAAGAAGCCTGGGATACTCTACAGGTAGCCCTTGACAGCACCATGAAGTCAATTCAGTGATGCCCATCCAGGGACAATTTTTCCCCCACCCCAGAAACATCTAGCAACGTGGAGACATTTTTGGTTGTCACAGCTGTGTGGGGTCGAGGGTGGATGCTATTAGCCTCTGGTTGGTAGGGGCCAGGGAAGGTGATACATATCTACAATGCACGGGACAGCTCCCCACAACAAAGTGCTATCCAACCCAAAAGATCAATGGTGCTGAGGCTGAGAAACCCTGAGTTGACTGACCTGGGTGGAGAGGAAGCATGTTTCCATCCATTGGGATGGAAGATGGAAGAACAGTCCCTTCGGAGAGAGGGAGGCAGTGGCAGCAGAGGGGCATGGTGAGAGGTGTGTGCGCGCAGATGTCCTGGAAGCAACTGGAGCCTCGATGTTTATTTGCAATGGTCTAGTGCAACCTCATGCACAGATGAGGAAACTGAGACACAGAATGTTTAATTCTAGTTCACTATAAGTGGCAGAGCAGGGTCCAGAACCAGCTTCCTAATTCCTGGGCCACCACTTTTATCCTTGCTGTGTCCTTCTGTGACATCCAGACCTCAAAGTCAAGGCTCCTAGGTCCCTGGATCAGAAGGGCTGAGAGGGCCACACAGCTCCACCCTGCGGTGCTCCAAAGCCCAAGGAGGGAAGAGAAGGTGGGACAGGACTTTCCGCATGTGGATTCCTGTCCTCCCCCCGGTTACATTTTCCTGATGGTTAATACCAGGGTCCAGCTACACCTCTGGAAAGACCTCATCCTCCTCCCAAGGCCTCCCAGGCATAGCAGGAGCTTCACTGCCATCCTAAAGATCCACTTTCTGTTTGTTCAACAAAAGCAAATAATGTGCCAGCCACAGTTCTCAGCGTTTTACACGTATTAGCTCATTGAATCCTCACAACAGCCCTGCAAGGCAGGTGCTATTATTATCCCCATTTTACAGATAAGGAAACTGAGGCACAGAGAGGCTAAGTCACTTATGCAAGATCACACAGTTTGTGCATGGAATAGGTGGACCCAGGCTCTGAACCCACGCAAGCCGGCTTCAGTCTAGGCTCTTAGCCTCTGTCACACTACCTTTCCAACACACTGAGGTATAAATGTGCCAGGTCCCCACCAAAGGCAGGGGCTCAAAAAGGAAGGGTGCTCAAGAGGGAGCCAGAGAGGGGCACGCCTCCCCGTGTGTACTGCTCAGGGCAAGTTCCAGCAGGCAGTCCCACCCTCACTTCCCCCGAGACCAGTGTCCTCAACAAAGCCGCGTCTTCGCTCTTGCACCAACTCTGTTTTCTCCAACCCTCAGGTAAATGGAGTGACACCCCCATCGCTCCCCAGCTGCTGGGGTCCACTGTGCAGCTGGGGTTCCTGCAGGGCTTTTCCGCACAGGAGCAGCCAGAAGCACATGGGCTGCCTCCCAGAAGCTCTCTGAGGGGTACGCAGTGGGACACAGCAGCCAGAAAACCACCTGGCTGAGGTGTGAGAGCCACTGAACACACGTGTGACCAAGGGGGCTGACATACGGAGGCCCCAAGGCATGCCCCTCCCCTAAGTCCTGGCCCAGCAGGAGCCTGTGGGGAACAGAGGCCACAGGCTTCTTGCACGGCCTGTTTGACCACCTTGCCTGCAGCAGAGAAGGGAAAATGGTTTGACAACTGAGGGTTCAAGTCCAACAGGCTCTGAATTTTCTCCCAGAGGAAAGCTGATCTGGGAGGGTATGGGAGAGGAACAAGCCAGCCCCGGAGCTCTGTGGAACAGAGAAGAAGAGTAGACAGGACCCCAAGGGTTCACCTCCAGCCCCTACCCCGGGTTCTGTGGCTACGCTGGGAAGCCCTGAAGCTGAGGACCACAGGTGTCCCCAAATTCCTCTTTCCAGGTGAGAGTGTGGCCGGGTGGCTTTGCTGTCATCTTTTCTGAAACCCTCTAGATTCAGACGCGTTCATGCTCCTGCCAAGGGCTGTGAGCTGCCATGAGCACCCGTCACTCCCAATCAAACAGCACACTCCACCTGCCAGCCCCACACCAGGGACAGCGGAAACAAGACCCAGCAAGGCTGCCAGCCCCTGCCCGTTGCTGTCAGGGGGCCCATGTGTCTGTCCCCTGAAAACCCATAGCCTGGGGAAAAAGGAGCGTCAGAATCCAGCTCCATTCTTTCTCTGGATCCACCACCCTTTGCTGCCCAGGCCTGGAAATTTCTGCTCTGCGGGATCAGACAGCACGGGAAGCGGCTCACCTCATCCCTACACACCACAGAAAAGGAAGTTCACGCCCCAGCCTCCTGAGACCTGAGCCATCCCTTTCGCCCTGAGCATCTCCTTCTTGGGAAACCATGAACTCTGGAGGATCAGAACCCAGAGGAAGAGGCTGGGCATGGGAGAGCGGTGTTGTGTGGAAGGGAAAAGGCACCAAGGCCTGGAGACCTGTGGGCCAAGGCCAGGTGGTACACCGGGAAGTGTCCTGGGCCAGCAGCCAGGAGACCTGGGTTCAAGTCCTGGGCTCTGCTCCTCACTTGTTTTGTGACCTCTGGCCAGTCGCTCCTTTGCTCAGTTTCTCTGGCAAAAAAATTCTCCAAGGCATGAGTGTTTACTTAAAACCTCTGGGGAACACTGGCTCAAATGCAGATTTTCCAGTCTGGCCCCAGAGAAAACAACTGAAGGTCTGGGGTGCCATCCAGGAATCTGCATTTTAAAAAAGGTCTTGGAGGCTTGAGAATACAATTTGCAGACTCCCTCATGAGAAGCAATGATATGGCTCAGCAGGAAGCGACAGGGAAGGCAGGGATGGGCGAGGTGTGCTGCCCATCAGGGGCCCAACAAGGGCCGCCATCAGCCCCCTCCGGCCACACCCGAAGCCCTGGCTGTAAGATGGACTCCAGCAGGTGCCCCACCCTGTGGCCTGGGCACCATCACTAAGCGCCTTTAAGGCAACCCTCCACGACATAACACTCTGCTTTTCACTTTGCATTTTTGTTTTTCTTCTAGAATTCAAATATGTCTCCCACTCCGACCTCCCCCCCTTTCTCCTCCCCCTCCTTTTTATGTATTTCAGAAGACTCTGGAGAGCTCCTGCTGTGCCCCAGCATTCTGGGGCATTTTGTGACAATTTGAAGATGGGGACTGTACCCTCTGGAACTCTGCACCTGAGCCTGCCCACACCCCCTACCCACCAGCTCCATCAACTCCACCGGTAACAGGGAGGCTGCTGCTACCCCACAGTCCAAGCAGGCTGAGTCGTTCTGCCCAGCCCTTGGAGACACCGTCCATCAGCACAGGGCACTCCAAAGGAGCTCATGACACAAGGAACCCAAGCCAGCTCCAGAAGGGGCACTGTGGTAAGGACATAGATTTCAAATCCTGATACTTCCCAGCTGGGTGACCGTGAGCAAGGTGCGGCTCTGTGCCTCAGTTTCCTCATCTGTAAACAGGGTGATGAGTGTGCACAGAGCACTTACTATATGCAGGCTCTGTTCTAAGTGCTTTCCATGGATGGACCCATTTAGTCCCTACACCATCCCTAAGGCAGAGACCACCCACTACCCCCCATTTCCCCACTTGACAGTTATTGACTGAGACGGGAAGAAGTCAAGAAACTTGCCCCAGGCTGTTGCACTGTCATTAATATAACCGACACTCTGGCCTCAGAGTCCACGTTCATCATCGTTATACTATATTGATTCCACGACTGACACTTCATATAGCTAATGGACAATTAAATGAGCCACTTGGATCACTACATGTGCATAATAAGTGCACACAAAAGTTGCAGCAATTGTTATTGTTAATTGTTTACCTACACTTTTTCTCCCAAAGCAGGATGTGCAGCCTGGACGAAGCAGGGAAATGCACCCACTCTTGGTTTTGTCTCCACAGGGGTGGTCGGAATGGCTCAGAGCTGTGTGAGTTGGAGCCTAAGAGAGCAATACCCCGTTCCCTGCTCTCCTGCCCTTGTGCCAAAATAGCAAACCTGCGACCACACTTCTCAGGCCTGTGCCCCTCAGGGGGCAATGATGTCCAGCCCCAGCTGCCCCAAACACAGGGCTGAGGAGCAGAGGTGGAGTGTGGGGCTCCCCTTCATCTCTGCATGGGGGTGGGTGGGGTGGGCTCCCCCTCATCTCCACATGGGGTTGGGCATCTCGAAGCGCCCTGGGAGGCAGGCTGGCCACTCTAGGCAGAAGCTGCCTGCTCCCCTCAGGGACTCCTAGGAACTCTATTCTTAGGACGCTTTCTCTTGCTTTTTACTTTGACATCTTCCAGAAGTTACCCCGCACAAAAGCAACCCTGCCGTGGCTGTAATTTACACGTCACATCACTTGCGCTGAGCACAGTCCACCCCCTTCAACCCACTCCCGCACGCATACCTTCCCCTCCTGCCCTGAAAAAACGGCTTCTGCATCATCCCAGCCATCCTCCTTCCACTTGTTCACCAGGAGAGAAGTGAAATGTGAAATTGACAGGAGAAGGGGAGGTGGGAGGGGCATGTGGATGGGGAACTTGAGTGAAATCCGAGCTTTGGAACTTCCCCGTTTCCAGGTTGGGCATCACTTCTGCTTGGCGGTCCACATCGCCATGGCAACAGCCCAGCCAAATGCCCCAGCTCGCAGCCCACCCTGAGGGCGCCCCTCGGGAGCCACTTACTGTGATGGTGTTTTCCTTGCTCTGCTTTTTGCTTGGCGATGAGGATCCCAGGTTCTGGGGAGAGAGGCAAGAAACATCGTCAAAGCTGTTCTCCATATTGGACATTTTTTCCCCCCATTCAGGTTCCCTGAGGGTGGAGGCGCTGGGGAATCAGGGATGCTCAGTCTGAATCCTAAGTCACCATATTCTGGGCCAGGGCAAGCAGGGGTCTCCCTGACCCCACGCTGTTCCCACGCCCAGCTCTCGGGCTGAAGGCGAATTAAGGAAGCCTCCTGCACAGGCTCTGAGAGAACTGCTCCAAACCAGGTCTCCCCTCCTCTTCTCTCAGTCTGTGATTTGGGGAGTTAACCCCTCCGCTGCCCTCTGCTGGTGAACGTTCCGCGTGCCGCTTGCTGCCTGAAGCCGCGGAATCCACTGGGGAGAAGAGAGTTAAGGCCACCACCTCCTGGCACTGAGGAATCAGCACACGACATTTTATTCTGAAACCCCCCGGGTCCAAAACGTCAAACCTAAATACACACAATGTGCACTGGGGCGCTGCTCGGTCACCTCCCTGACTCCCCGCTCCCCCAACCCCGTGAGCCAGGAGGGATTTCTCAGCCAAACCGACTTCCAGCTTCCACTCAGTCTTTATATTGCCTTTTGATGTCTTCCACCGCCAGTAAGAAAACCAGAGTCCCAAGTACCTCTGAGCCTGGGGTCCTCAGCAGTTTGCCAAAGTCCTGGGATCGTTCTGGCAGAGAAAATTAAGGACTGCCAGTGCAAAATGCTACACGTGTCCTAAGAGCCTACGACTCCAAAGAATGTTTGATTCTGGGTCTCTGTTGTTCTATTAGCAATTATGTTGGGGGCTCAATACCAGAGATCCCCAAGCAGGACCTGGGATGTCTCCTATCCTGAGCCACACAGCAACCTGGGAAGCAGGCTTACCCCTAAGGCACCGCAGGTGGCCATCACACTTGTGCCCCAGGACTTGTGCATGACCTTATTCTTTTTTTTTTTTTTTAAGATGGAGTGTCATTCTGTCACCCAGGTTGGAGTGCAGTGGCGTGATCATGGCTCACAGCAACCTCTGCCTCCCAGGTTCAAGCAATTCTCCTGCCTCAGCCTCCTGAGTAGCTGGGATTACAGGTGCCCGCCAGCACGCCCAGCTAATTTTTGTATTTTTAGTAGAGACAGGGTTTCACCATGTTGGCCAGGCTGGTCTCGAACTTTTGACCTCAGGCGATCCACCTGTCTCGGCCTCCCAAAGTGCTGGGATTATAGGCATGAGCCACTGCGGCCAGTCTGGCCTTACTCTTCCTTGGTAGAATGTAAGGAAGTGGCTGTCACTTTATAGATAAAGGCCAGAAAAAGGATGGAGGGGCTTCAACAAGAAGGAACCACCGGCTTGGAGTGGGGGGCACCCCGCCCCTCAGGCCAGCACGACCCTGGACACCTGGCCAAATGACCATCTGCAGGTGAGGGCGAGCCTTTGCCTCAGAAACCCGTCAGCAAATTAGGCAAACCAGGGAGCTTGACTATGCCCCTGCTAAGGTCGCATACCCTTACTCCCATACAGTCTTACTTGGGTTGCTAATTAAAGTCAACTCAGGAAAACTGATATCCTTAAGGTGTCTAGCAAAAATGAACCTTACAGAGCATTAATTTCACAGACAAGAAAATGATTACTAGCCTTGAGACCCTGGCCAGAGAATCTGACTTCTTTGAGCCTCAATTTCTCCATCTGTCAAATGGATGGTTATCACTGGTCCTCAAGCTTTGAGGTGCATCAGAATCAACTGAGGAAAAAGTGTCCAAAATAGAGTCCCAGCTGCACTCTCAGCTGCTGGGCCTGATCCAGCAGGTCCCAGGTGGTGCCAGCACCTCTGATTTGCAGAATCTGTGGACCTCACTCAGAGATACATGGATCTGATCTACACTGTGGTTTCACTGAGGTACCTCTACTTATGGCAACTCCTCTAGTGACCCCAACGGGCTCCTGGCCAACGTCAACTTTATGGCCAACTACAGCTTCCATAGACATTTTTAGTGCATCATCTCATCCAGCTGGCCCACCCTATACCTTCCCACTTGACAAAACTGCACAGGGAGAAAGGCAGACGGAGGCTACATGGCAGGAGGTACCAGTCACCAAGGAGAAGAGACAGGGATAGAAGTCTCTCTCTCCATAGGTTCATTCACGTACAGACTCTAGCCAAGCAAATACATGGCAGGAAGGGGAAAGAGTAGCCTATGGGATGGATTCTGCAGTCTGCAGGAGTCTGTCTTCCTGTCATGGACACATTACCACCATCACCACCGCGTTCCCACTGCAGCCCCCCAGAGAGGGGAACCAGCACTCCAGCAGCCTTGGCAACAGCCTTCGAGTCTGCCTATGGATGCTGATGATGTTGGTGATGAGGGGGCTAAGGGGAGAAGCAGTGCAAGAGCGACTGTCTACTGAGTGCTTGCTTATTACGGCAGGCTCCAGGTTAGCCATCTGACATATTTAATCTCATTTCATCCTTACAACCCCAGCAAGTTAAATGGCATCAACTCCATTTTGCAGATCATGAAATTGGGGCTTGCAGAAGTAAAACTGTCCAGGGTCACAAGGCTATAGTAAACAGAGGAGTGGAAATTAGAATCCAAGCCTGCATAACTCTTTCCTCTATCTTCCGCCATCTCTCCACTTTGAGACCTGAGACAATATTTTGTTTTCCATGTGTCTTTGCAGGAAGGCAAAAAAGATTTCCATCAACCACAAACATATATTTTGGGACCACTGTGTATAAATCTCTGTAGAATAAGGCTTGACGCAGAGGTCGCACCTCCTCCTTATAACTTGGCTAGGATAGGAATACAAGTAATGGCATTGAGGTTGGGTGTTCCACGTGTTAGGTGTCAGCACCTTCCCTGGTCTCTGTTCTATTAGCAGTGTTTTACTTCAACCACTGAGGGCCAAGGTAGATCACAGGCAATCTCAGGCTCTGCCTGTGCTGCTGATAACCTGTGCCTACTGCTCCAACTTCATATACATATCACGTGCATTTTATACACACACACACACACACACACACACACGTGACACACACACTATCATAATTCTCCATTGAAAGGGCCCAGAAGGAATGACATCTCATCACAGTGACAACATCTACTGGCTAGAAATTGGTTTCCAAATATTACCGGAAGCTCCTTGGTACTAATTTCAAAGGCAGGTATTTGGAATATCCTATTGTACCAAGAGGTAAGAAAGTATTCAGAGAATAATGGAGAGATAACAAAAGAACATAAACAACTTAAAGGGCTACCACAGGCCAAATCTGCGACAATTTGAGCACAAATATGAATGAATGACTGCAACTAACTAACTAACTCCAAAGGGGAAGGGAGAGAACATTTATTTCAGAAGAATGCCAATAAAAAATGTACAAGAAATTGGATGACCACCATTTGCAAACCCCAGCCTCAAAGGGGACTCAGGCCATGATCCTCAAGGATGCTGAAAGCAGGGGATGGAAAGACTGCCAGGGCACAGGATACTCACAGGGTCTTACACTGGCACCTCACAGATGACTGACAAATTAGAAAGGGAAAATGTACCCCTGCAAAGGAGAAATCTGGCAGTCAGCACCTTAACCGAGAGTGCAAACTGAGCCTCATGAGTAGGGTGCCAACCTGGGTGGTTGTGCCCCCAAATGCAGTAAAAAGAACCCCACATGCCCTGTCCAGCTATTCTTGCCCAAACTCCAGAACCTGAACCTACGCATAAGAGAACAGTCAGACCAAGAACGCAGGTTATTCTATAAGACACCTGACCTGGACTCCTCAAAAATAAATCGTCAAGGTGATGAAAAAAAAAAAAAAGAAAAAAAGGTGTAAGGGATTGAGTGTAGAGGCAACGAGACAGGCAACAACTTGGATGAAACGTTCTATCCATACGACAGAATATTCTTCTGTCATAAAAAGGAATGGAGTGTTCATCCATGCCGCGATGTGAATGAACCTTGGAATTCCAGGTGAAAGAGGCCAGACACAAAAGACCACAGATAGTATGATACCATTTATATGAAATGTCCAGAAGAGGCAAACCCATAGAGACAGAAAGATTAGGGGCTGCCTAAGTCTTCAGGTGATTCTGCTTGGGTTGATGAAAATGTTCTAAAATAGATTTGATGATGGTTGTAAAACTTTGTAAATATAGTAAAAAACACTGAATTGTATACACTTTAAATGGGTGAATTGTATGGGTATGTGAATTACAGCTCAATAAAGCAGTTTTTTGGTGGGGGAAGAGAGAGAGAGAGAGAAACAACAGAGACACAGCAACCAGTGTATCTGTGTGTGAACCTGAAGGGATCCTGGACTGGGGAGAAAAGCAGCCATAAAAGGGATTTGGGGGCCAGGTATGGTGGCGCACACCTGTAACCCTAGGCTTTGAGAGGTTGAGGTGGAAGGATCGCTTGAGCCCAGGAGTTCTAGAATTCACGAGCTATAATGGTGTCACTGTACTGTAGCCTGAGGTACAGAACAAGACCCCATCTCTCTCTTTTTTCTTTCTTAAAAAAAGGCATTTTTTGAGACAATTGAGGAATCTGGAGTGTATATATTAGGCGGCATTATTGAATTAATGTTTTCTTAAATATGATAATGGTATTATCATTATGTCTTCTTCCTGGAAGATACATTCTGAAATATTTGCATTTAAAACAGTAAGTCAGAAATGTGGTTTAAAATAATCTAGGGGGTGGAGGGCAAGGGGATTGGGGGAGGGGATGGGAGCACAAATAAAACAAGATTGGACAAAGGCAGGTAATCGTTGGGCTTAACAGATTTGTGGTACCTTATTATATATTCCCTCTACTTTTGCAAAGGTTTGCAAATGCCTATAATAAGAGTATTTGTTTTAAATTTCCTTTGCCTGTGATTCCAGAGAACTCTTCCCTTCCATTTATTTTGTAAAGGCCTGCCCAGGGGTCAGGACACCCCACCTGGGCATCTCTGCATCACCCTGAGGCCTGGCAGGGGGTGATACCACACAGGAAGTGCTTGGTAAACTGGAGTGGGTCATTCACAAGTGATTCAGCAGGCCCCCGACTCCAAATGTCTTCTCAGCCCATTTCCTCCCCCCCTGCAAATAATCTGGGTCCCATCCCTTCAGCAGGTGGGATCCTGTACAAAACCCCTCAATGGCTTCCCAGTGCAGTTAGGATAACCCCTGAGCTCCTCGTGGCAGGCCTGCGCAGACTACCCCAGCCTCATTTCCCACCCTCCCTATTCCTGCTGATTTAGTAAGCCACAGCCACACTGGGTCTCTATGCGTAAACACGGTTCCCCCTTGCTGCCTCCAGGCATCCACGATGCTATTCCCTCCCCTGGAAAGCTATTCTTTCCCCACCTCTTTGCCAAGTGAAACCCTTGCTCATCATTCCAGTCTTAGAATAGGTATCTTTTCTTAAGGTACCTTAATTCCTGACATTTCCAGCACCAGGCTAGGTTCTCACAGCATCCACTTCCTCCAGCCTTTGTCACTGCTGAAATTGCACCATTATTTATCTACTGTTTCTCCCACACCAGCCATAAAACTCCATCAACGCAGGGCTATAGATATCACCTGTGTCTCAGTGCCTGACAAAGACCGAAATTGCTCAATAAGAACATGTGTTATTGAATTATTGAGGTAGGTAGGAGGTGGTGGAGATTAAACATCTCACCTCTTTCTCCACTTTGAACTCCATGCTCCAATGGGTCCCTCAAGTTTCCAAGCCCTTCGTCCCATTCTCTTTCCTCTCTCCTGTGTCTAGAGGGTCTTCCTGGGAAGTTCGTGAGAAGCCAGAACAATTGAAAGGTGGATCACAAAAAGGCCCAGGCACTGGTGGGCAGGAAGGGAAGGGACCCACTAGGACGCGATTCTGCAAAGGCAGCAAGACTATTAGCCTTTGATCTAGAACCGGAAATACCATTTGACCCAGCAATCCTATTACTGAGTATACCCAAAGGAATATAAGTCATTCTACTATAAAGACACATGCACACGTGTTTATTGCTACACTATTTACAACAGCAAAGACTTGGAACCAACCCAAATGCCCATCAATGATAGACTAAAGAAAATGTGGCATATATACATAATGGAATAGTATGCAGCCATAAAAAAGAATGAGTTCATGTCCTTTGTAGGGACATGGATGAAGCTGGAGGCCATCATTCTCAGCAAACACAGGAACAGAAAACTAAACACCGCATGTTCTCACTCATAAGTGGGAGATGAACAATGGGACCATATGGACACCGGTGGGGGAACATCACACACCAGGACCTATCGGGGCGTGGGGGATAAGAGGAGGGAGAGCATTAGGACAAATACCTACTGCACGCAGGGCTTAAAATCTAGATGACAGGTTGATAGGTGCAACAAACCACCATGGCACATGTGTACCTATGTAACAAACCTGCACGTTCTCCACATGTATCCCAGAACTTAAAGTAAAATAAAAAATAAAAAAAGATGATTCGCCTTTGATCCCTCGCCTCTGCCCCCGAATCAGGTGGGCTGCATTTACCCAGTACCTGGGCCGACTGCCCCAGGGCTGCAGAATTGAAACCCTCCACTGGGTGGCACCAGATCACCACCTCCTGTGCCCACCCATCCAGGTCTCCAAGGGCTGAGTGAAGGAGCGGGGCAGGCACCCTCAGGAACTGTGGGGCACCCACTATCAGTCCTCCCCATGACATAGTATGGTGGGGACACGTTACTGGTGTCCGTGGAAAGTCCCTTTCCCCATCCCCCGACACCCACCCCCCAAAATTCTTTTTTTTTTTTTTTTTTGGAGATGGAGTCTCGCTCTGTCGCCCAGGCTGGAGTGCAGTGGTGCAATCTCGGCTCACTGCAAGCTCCGCCTCCCTGGTTCATGCCATTCTCCTGCCTCAGCCTCCCGAGTAGCTGGGACTACAGGTGCCCGCCACCACGCCCGGCTAATTTTTTGTATTTTTAGTAGAGACAGGGTCTCACAGTGTTAGCCAGGATGGTCTCGATCTCCTGACCTCCTGATCTGCCTGCCTCGGCCTCCCAAAGTGCTGGGATTACAGGCTTGAGCCACCACGACCGCCCCCTCCCCCCAAAATTCTAATCTTCCTGATCAGCTTGCTCAAGGAGGGGCAGCTAAGCAGGGGGCGGAAAGAGATCACAACCGGGTTTTGAGATCTGGGGCTTTCCAGTCTAGGTTTCGTCACTGTAACCCTGAACATGCCACTTTATCCACCCCACATGCCGCATCTCAAGTGTTCCTTTGCTCATTTATTCATTTATTGATGTTTAAGTGTAGTTATCATGAGTGATAACTGACAGCAGGGATGGTGAATCTACTCGTCTGCATGCTGGAGTGGGGTCTATACCTGGGGACCCTTTGTTGGTAGAGCTCTCTGTAAACACCAAACCTTCTTAACCTATTTGTATGTTTAACTCTTGGCACCTTTTTGGATAACCAGCCTGCAGGCTCACAAACCAGGACAAAAAGTAGTAGCTAGCTGGGCGTGGTGGCCGGCGCCTGCAGTCCCAGCTACTCCAGAGGCTGAGGCGGGAGGATTGTTTGAGCCCAGCAGTTCCAAGCTGAGGTCACAGTGATCTACGATCACCTCCATGAACAGCCAGTGCATTCCAGCAAGGGCAACACAGGGACACCCTGTTTCCTAATTATTTTTAACTTAAAAAAGTAGTAGCTTTTATATACAAATGTTACCCTTTCAAAGCCTAAAAGAATAACATTCTACCTCCTGATCCTGGGACTGGTGAACAACGCACGTTCGCCCTCTCCATATACTACATGATTTATTTTTGTTACCCTGATGACACCTCAGCTCCCAAGGTTACCATCCAAAAAGAGTCTGACTCAATCCGCCTGTCTTTAGGCAGCCACTATCTACCCGGGCCTGCATCTCCAGAGCTCGCCTCTCCTGAATTCCCCATACTGGTACCTACTTTGTAGCTTTTTTTTTTTTTTTTAAGTAAAAAATTGTATCTGCCTTCTATAAAAGTAAAATGTGTTCATTTTAGGAAATTTGAAAAATAACAACAAGTGTAAAGAAAATAAAATGACCCATGATCTTAGACCAAAGGTTCTCAACTTCAGCACGATTCATGTTTTCAAGTTGAGCACTTCTTTGCTGTGGTGTCCCATGCCTTGCGAGATACTCAGCGTCATCCCTGGTGTCACCTACTAGTTGCCAGTAGCACCCCCCCTCCCCAGGCGTGACAATCCAAACGTCTCCAGACATTGTCAAAAGTCCCAATTGATAGCCATGATCTCAGACGCAGACAGAGCCACCGTACGTTTTCCAGTTTTCCTTCTAGTCCTTCTTCCTAAGTATAGATAAGTATAGATTTCCTTCTGCCAAATAAGACTGACTATATATGCAATGTGTGTCCTACTTTTTTTTTACTCTATTTTATGTTGTGAGTACTTTCCCAAATTATTGCATTTTCTTCAGAAGCATGCTTGCTAATGGCTGCATAGTATCACTGGCTAACCTCCAGCGCCATCATCCCTTTTACCCATCCCCTGTTGCAGGACAGTTAGGCTGGGTCTAGTGTTATGGTGCTGTAAATAATGTGTGAGTGAATAGCCTTGCACATAAATCAGAACCCCTCAAGATACCCCAAGAACAGACACTAGACAAGACATCCCTGTGTCGATGGCTTATAATGCACAGTGTTAAATCAGCTTCTGAGATATCAGTTATACCAGTGTCCATTCTTTAAAATAGATGAGTAACAACTTCACAGTATTTCAGAAGGGATTATGTTTTATCAGGGAAGAAAGAATGATTTTGAGGATGGGGAGCTGTTTCTCATATTCTTCCTGATGATGCCCAGGGTAACACCAGATTTCTGTCATCGTTGCTGAACCACATCAGAATTTAGGCTGATGTCTTCCAAAACAGTCTCAAATCAGGAGACAAAAGTAAGTTTCACTTCAAACAGGATAACAGAATCTGTGTTGAGAAGGCAAGCTGGGAGCTCAGCAGGAAACATACAAAGCCACGGTTGATTCATGATGGGTGACATGAGCAGAGGAGAGAAGGAGACCGATAGGCCAGCTGTGTGCTACTGACTGCTAGTCCACTGCTCAGGAGTGGTCCTCAGACCTACAGCATCAGCGTCACCTCGGAGCTGGCTGGAAACCCAGAACCTCAGCCCCCACCCTAGATCTCCTGGATTAGAATCTGCATTTTAACAAGAGGCCCAGCTCACTCTAAGTCCATCAAAACATAAGAAGTCCTGACATACACTGAGGTTCAAATTCTTTTCCAGAGTTAACTGAACTGAATCGAAGCCCAACACTCAGCATCCTAACAGAACGACTTAATAACGTTCCCCCAAATTAACACTCTTGTCCATGATAAAGCTGAGTGTCACATTTCAGCTGATTATACTAACAGCCAATGGGTCTCCAGATGTTGCCAAATGTCCCTTGATTAAGAACCACGGTCTCAGATGCAGACAGAACCATAATCAATCCTCCGGTTTATTTTTCTTCCAGTCATTTTTTCCTTATGTTAAGTATAGATTTCCTTCTTCCAGTGACTGGTACATAGAATCCACTGCACACGCAGCTACTGTCATCATCAACATCATCAATATTATCATCATGATCATCATCAATGATCATTATTGTCATCATTTTCATTATCACCTCCAGGATTCTGGCATTTTAATTCCTGGAAAAGGCTGCTGGAGTTTGGAAGCTTCATTAAGAACATCTTCTTGATAATTTATGGGTAGACTAAATAAGGCTAGTCCTCAGTTTTTTAGGCACAGCTTCACGCAACTAGAAAAGCCGTAAGCACTGACATCAAGGTCCAGTCTAACCACTGAGTAATCCTGTGAGCCTGCACAGGTCACAAAACCAGTTGGAGCCTCGGTGACCTCATGCATACCTTGAGTTGTTACTGACGCCTAACTCACATGTTTGCATAAACATCAAGTAGGATGGAGACTGAGAAAACAGTTTGGAAATCGTACAACATACTCCCATTTCCTTCCATCTCATAGCTCTCTCTATGCTACTTTATCAAATGAGATGATCAAATTTTACTAAATTCCATTCTGGGTAATCTGTCCGTGGGAGGGGTAGGGTAGAGAAAAGGAAAATTGTCTGGCACATCCATACTCTTAAAGTGGTGAGAAACACAGGCTTCAGGTATCAGGAATCCAGACCAGAGAATGGAACTCTCTGTCCTAATGGTTTCAACCCCATCACCGTCAACCCCTCCTCCAAACCACCCTCGACTTCTAGAAAACCAACAGACCACAATCATCCAACCCTCTCCCCATCAGGGAACACTGAAACAACCCAGACACAGCAACCACTTTCTACCTGGGGGCAGAACTGGGCTGCAGCCACCTGGACTCCCATGATGGACTTTGTAATGCAGTTTCCTAGGCCTGCAGAAGCAGTGACCGCTATACCTCCCTCAACAGGACCCCTTACCTGGGAATCACCGGTGGATTTTCGGACACTCATGTGGGCAGTCTCTGGAGGGTGCGCTGGGGTCCCTGATGCGTGGTATCCATTCACTGCAGGGACAGAGACACGGCTCAGATGCTGTGTGGGCCACAGATGGGCACCCCCGCCTTTCGTCCACTGCAGCCCCTTTTCCCACCTCCTTCCTTGGCTCTGAGAGGTCTTGCGTGGCGAAGACCATCCCTCAGGATCTGATCTTATCTGTATCTGCAGAGCTGGAAATGGGTTGAAGGCATCTCTCTAATCCTCAGCACCCAAATTACTGAATTCTTAGGGGACTGAGTTTCTTTTTTAACCCGAGAGCAAAAGGAATGTGCCTAACAGGAGGGGAGGTCACTATGGTCCAGCTGCCTTTGCTACAAATACCACATCAGTTGTAGTTACAAATGCCAGTCACGGGTCCAATCTCCCTCCGTAGAGTCGGGGCGGGGGGCTCTCCACCACCTTCCAACAATTTCCCTCAGCTTTCTTAGTAACTTCTCCACCCTCAAACTCAGAGCAGCGGAGTGTGAATATACTAGAAAGAGGACTGGATTGACTGGTCACCGTGAAATTAGGCTCTGTCAATTAATAGTCAGGTGATCATATGCACTTCATTCTTGAGTCACCGTTCTCCTAGAATTAAAAATACATAATCTGGCTTGGAGCTGGGGCTCATGTCTGTAATCCCAGAACTTTGTGAGGCCGAGGTGGGCGGATCATGTGAGGTCAGGAGTTTGAGACCAGCCTAGCCAACATGGTGAAACCCTGTCTCTACTAAAAATACAAAAAAATTAGCCAGGCGTGGTGGCAGGCACCTGTAATCCCAGCTACTCGGGAGGCTGAGGCAGGAGGATCGCTTGAACCCAGGAGGCAGAGGTTGCAGTGAGCTGAGATTGCACCACTGCACTCCAGCCTGGGCAACAAGAGCAAAACTCCATCAAAAAACAAAACAAAACAAAACAAAAAAAACACATTATCTGAGGCTCTAAAATTCTACCCTTATAACTTTATGTCTCTTGGGGGACACTCACTCATGCTCCCAACACTTGCTGATAAACCTGCTCTCCAAGGAACAGGGGGAGCCCTGATATGTAGTATCTGTCGATTTCTGTGCCAAAGACACTCCCAGCATGGACGGTTTCAAGCCCCAACGCCGCTACACGCACGCTCCTGACATCACGAATTCACACTGGGACCCACGTGATCTCGGTTCCCAGGTGGTACCGCTCTTGTAGAAATATAACTACATAAGCTTAGACGAGCAGCTTCGCCTCAGTGACCCTCAGCTTCTGTACCTGTAAAATGGGGATAATTCTACGTATTCTCCTGACCTACTTTGTTGGTGTGAGAATCCAACAAAGCGATAATAGCAAAAGTTATAAGTAGTCATAAAGCACTTCATTTAAAAAAGGGAAGGATGAAAGGCAGGGTGCGGTAGCTCACGCCTATAATCCCAGTACTTCGTGAGGTGGAGGTGGGAGGATCGCTTGAGTCCAGGAGTTCCAGACCAGCCTGGGCAACATAGTGAGACCCCATCTCTATTTTTAAAAATAGAAAAAATTTAAAAAAAATTAAAAAGGGAGGAATGGCCAGGGGGCAGTGGCTCATGCCTGTTATCCCAGCACTTTGGGAGGCAGAGGGAGGACTGCTTGAGCCTAGGAGTTTAAGATCAGCCCGGACAACACCGTGAGACCTCATCTCTACAAAATATATATATTTTTAAATTAGCTGGGTGTGGTGGCTCATGTCTGTAGTTCCAGTAACTCGGGAGGCTGAGGTGGGAGGATAGCTTGAGCCTGGCAGGTGGAGGCTGCAGTGAACTGTGATTGTACCACTACACTCCAGCCCACACTTCAGAGTGTGACACCCTGTATCAAAAAAGTGGGGGAGCAGAGGCATCCAGAAGGGGAAGGTCTTTGCTTTTGTTCCTGAATTGAGTCCCCAGGAACCACAAGCCTGCGTGATCTCAGGAGACCAGGACGATGCGCCATCCCGTGACCCAGGCTTCAAGTAATTGCCAATAAATATATACAATGCAGGTCAGACTGGAGGAAGATCTACACACTGATGTCCAACTCATGATTCTTCTAGAGAAAACTCTATAGCGTGGCAGGAAGCACAGGAGAATATGGCTGAAAGTTACCACCAACACCTACTCATTTGGAGCGACGAGGACTGGAGGCAAGCGTTGGGCAATGGGATGATGAAGCCCGTTCCACGGAGAACCCGTCTCCTGCTCAGGTGGTGCCCCGTTCTCCACCACTTGCAGTGAACACTCCAGGGCCAAGCAGGGCCACATGCAGCTGAGTGCCTGTGCGCAGCTGGGCTTCTCCCCCAGCTACAGGGTTTACCCCCCGTTCCAGAATAAGGTGGTTGCACACATCCCAAGGAAATAGCAAGCTGATCCACAGCAGGCCCCTAGTACAGTAGAAGCTTGAGGGAAGCAACAAGAAACAACAAATCCACCCTGCAGGGCCAGCTACAAGCCTGGGCCACACCCACATCCCTCAGGCAGCTGGCCAAGTGCAGATACCATCCACCCGCTATGAAGGCAGCTTAAGAGGCAAGGACAGGATTCCAACAGCATCAGGGAAAATGCTGAGGGGGCCAAGGAGAATCCACTCTGACTGGCATCAAGCTATGCCAGGAAAGACATGAGCCTGATGATAAATACACCCTACAACGAGGGCATGAGAGTGGAGAAATTTTATCAAATAGCATAGAACTATCTGAATAAAACACAGATGCTGAAAAACCTAAAGACAACAGAAGAAAACCTCAGGACACTGCTTTCAGTTTAGGACTGATTAACAGACAAAAACAAGGAGGATAAAGAAGACCCGAATAATTTAATTTAAAAGGCTGATTGAAATAGATGTAGTAAACATCATATCCTACAAACAAAGATAACATCTTCTGCCAGGAAGCCCTGGAACATGTAAAAACTTGGTCACATTTAAGCCACAAATAAACTATCAATAAATGGCAAAAGGTATAAAAAACACAGGCCACATTCTTTGACCAGGAAAGCAATAAAAGTAGATATTAATAATGAAAGAATAAATATACAAGATCCCCATCCCCCCAACTCCTAAACACTTAGAAATGTAAGAAACTGCCCTCTTAAATAATGCCAGATCAAAAAGGAATTTAAAACTGTAATTACACAATATTTAGAAAATAATAAAGAAGAATATATCAAAACAAATGGGATAAAGTCTGAAGTATACCTGGAGGAAAATCCACAGCCTTAATTATTTCATTACCAAACCCAAAGGAACAAAAATAAATGGACTAAACATTCAACTTAAGATCTGGGGAAAAAATTTTAAAGGCCAATAACATACGCCAAAAGAAAACAGGAGAACGGAATAGAAAAGTGGTAACAGAAATTAACGAGTCAGGAAACGGGAGACCATTAGCAAACCATGGCTGGTTCTGTGTGTGTGCATCACAACAATAAAAACAGCAGATAAGCCAGGGTAATTTGAGAGGGAAAGAGAACACAAATGCTCAGAATTAGGGATTAGAAAGAAAACAATGGCACAACAAATATAGTAGAAACTTTTTTTTTTTTTTTTGAGACGGAGTCTTGCTTCATCACCCAGGCTGGAGTGCAGTGGGCGATCTCGGCTCACTGCGACCTCCGCCTCCCGGGTTCAAGTGATTCTCCTGCCTCAGCCTCCCGAGTAGCTGGGATTACAGGCGCCCGCCACCATGCCCAGCTAATTTGTGTATTTTTAGTGGAGACGGGGTTTCACTATGTTGACCAGGCTGGTCTCAAACTCCTGACCTCAAGTGATCCGCCAGCCTCAGCCTCCCAAAGTGCTGGGATTACCGGCATGAGCCACCGTGCTGTACTTATAGTAGAAACTTTTTAAATGCAAGAACATATGACTTATAATTCTGTATCTTCAACACCAAACCTTCCATGAGATTCAAATTATCAAAAGGGTTTCAAGAGATGCCAAAAAGAAGTGAAACCTTTGAAAAATGACCTCCCCGCAAAAGGCACTGCACCCAGATGGTTTGATGGGCAAATTCATTCACACACTCCAGAAAGACACATCCATGCATAGAAACATGTGGCAGGCTTCCAGGTCTATTTTACAAAGTCAACATGACCCTGGTCTTAAAATCAAACAATACACAAGGGAACCATGTTTAGTCTGCTTTCGAAAATGAAATGCACAAGTTTTTATCTGAGTAGGTAATAAATCTCTATCTTTGATAATGCTGAGTCCCCATGAACCAAGGTTGTCCCAGCTCCTGAGGAGACCCTGACTCCCTCCCTCCCCAGACCCTCCAAATGCATGCCCAGGTCCTGCCTCTCCTCTGCCCCAGTCTTTCCCCACACTTGCAGCCGCCAGGAACTGTCTAAAGAGGAGACATTTTGCCCCTAATCCAATCCCTTGTTCCCACTTCAGTTCTGGTCTGTCAGCTGATGGCTAATTACTGCTCATGTCAAAACAATTACGAGGAAAGAAAACACAGTTTTCCATTCGACCCTTTCTCCCCACGTAGCAGCTCTCCTCGGACACCCTGTCTGGCTGCGTTATCACTTGAAGTCTCCCGGGCACATTCAGAATACGTCTCAGTGGAGATCTAGACAGTTATAGCCCACAAGATCCTGGCAACCCTCACCCACGGCATTCCTCATTGCTATTCCCTGTCCTGGGGGCTCCCGGCTCACCCAGGGTCAGCCACAAAACAAATGAGGCGAGAAGTGGGTGCTTCTGGGGCCTCCAGCCTCTGGGGGAAGAAAAATGAAATTGGTCAAGGATCGCTCATAAAGGGAACATAATTCAGTCTGGAGATACAAGGAAAAAAAAAAAGCAAATGTCACACTCATCTGTTTTTAAGATTTTTAAAAAGGGAACTAAAAGCTCTATCTAGTTAGTAACCTTAGCAGCTTCAAATATAAATAATACACACAGGCACCCACACACTTCATTTCCCTTATAGGCAGTTAAGCAACTTGAGAGGGCTTAGGAGGTGTCTAATGAGAGGAGGGGACAGATATTTGGGTAGAAAAGAGGAGGGAGGTCTGGGTAGGGAGAAGTCAACAGAAACAGAAAAGAAAGGCGAATATGAAAAGTTATCGAGAAAGGCCAAGCAACAAAGAAGCGCCAGCAGCTCCGCCACCCAGGGCTCACCCCCACCCACAGCTCGGCTTCCATATCTCAGTACCGATCCCTGAGGGAAAAAGTCGCATCCTCAGAGCCCTACTCTCCAGGTTCCTGTTCCCTGAGGAACCCAAAAGAACATAAGAAAATCAGCCATGAACACTCTCTTATTATACCTCCTGTAGGTCTGGCCTAATTTCTCCTCTCTCTGGAATAAACATAGTAATTTCACTCCTCAAAGTTAGGAAACCTGGTGACTGGGAGCGGTGGCTCACGCCTGAAATCCCAGCACTTTGGGAGGCTGAGGAGGGCGGATCACTTGAGGTCAGGAGCTCGTGACCAGCCTGCCTAACATGGTGAAACCCCATCTCTACTAAAATACAAAAAATTAGCCAGGGATGGTGGCGCACGCCTGTAATCCCAGCTGCTTGGGAGGCTGTGGCAGGAGAATTGCTTGAACCCGGGAGGTGGAGGCTGCAGTGAGCCAAGATCCTGGCATTGCACTCCAGCCTGGGCAACAAGTGCGAAACTGTCTCCAAAACAAACCAAAAAAAACAAAGTTGAGGAACCCCGGAGTGCTGAAGCCCTGGTTCTTGAAATCCTCGCTTCCCTCTTTTCCTCTTCCCCTCTCTTCTTCCCTCCCTCCCTTCCCTTCGGGCTTCTTTTTCCTTCCTCCCTTCCTTCTACCCATCCTCCTTCCCTCCTTCTTTCTCACCCCCCCCTTTTTCCTTCCTTCCACCCGTTCTCCTTCCTCATCTATCACATATTAAACATAGTACAGCCTAATGTTTCCCCAGGTGTGTTAAACAGGATAGCAATTCTGCCAGATGTGTATTGTAAGTGTTATGCAGTGATAGTAAAGGGTCAGTGTTACGGTCCAAAGAATTTAGGACAAACACCCCATTATTCAGATTGAGTTTATTTACAGTAGGCCTTTTAGAATATGCTGACATGCGCTTGAAATCTCAAACAAGGCAACAGCATGCAGCATCCTTCCGCGCACACAGACGCAGAACCCGTTGAGGGAAATACAGCAGGGCTACCGTGAAATCCACTTTGGGACACACAGTCATGGCCACAGAATGCAAGGTTTGAAGTGGGGCAGTTCCGTGCTCATCCGGTCTGATGACATAGGGCACAATTACAGCCTCCTTCCTCCCACCACATCCTGGAAGGCCTCGCAGGTTCCTTGGTCACCATGCTCACCTTCTCAGGAGGATCCACTGTCCACCATGGCCCATTTAGGGGAGCAGTTTTACATAAATACCTTTCTGTTCCAGAAATTTCTCTCTGGCCACCTGGTCCTCACTGTCTCTCCTAGTTGTCTAAGATGTGAACTGCGTTCCCAAAGACAGACTGATAAAAGATTTTCCCACATGGTTGTGAATAGTGAAACACCTGTGGCTGCTTTCCAGGACATCAGAGGTTAAACAGGCCTTTGTAAGGTCCCAGGAGCCTCAGCCAGCAAGAACACTGGTTCTAGGGGAACATGCACTTCTTCCAGCAGAAGGTGTCAGGGCCTTCCCTGGAGTCAGGGGTGAGGTCTAAGTCAGAGTGCTGGGGAAGCTGCTTTGAACCTGAGACTGGCTAATTTCGCAAGAAGCGAGGGTCTTCCTTTGCTCCTGCAGGGGAGAGGAGAGCTGTCCCAGGCTTCCTGATCTGGAGAAGAAGGTGTGGGCGAGGGTGAGGCTCTGGGTTCAGGAGCCCCCTCCCCAGAGAGCCCCTGCTCAGAGGAAGCACAGCTGCCTCCCTAACCATATCCCTGGCCGGCTCCTCAGGCTCAAAGGAAGGTCCTCCTTGCCCTTCAGCCTCTGCAAAGGCATTCACTCTCTCCCCTTTAATCTAGGTTCCCTGAGGCTACTGGAGGCCTAAGGATGATCCCTCAGTGGGCTGAAGCCCCAAGGCTGAGCAAAGCCAGATCCTGAACCCATGTTTCCTGAAACACTCCCACAACCGCCCACCAGGACAACCTCAAAAAATAATAGATTTCTTTTATCCTTAAGAAAAACACGTAAGTTCAATGCATATCCCAGGCCCAGAGGCTCAGAAAGGTATTCACTTTCCACATTTGCACTGTTGACACAAAAGCCACAGATGCCTATTTGAATTTAAACAAATCAAATTTAAATAAAATCTAAATGCAATATGATTTCCAGGACTGGATCCAAGAACAGAAAAAGGACATGAATGGAAAAACTCATGACATCTGAATAAAGTCTAACATTCAGTTACTCGTAATGCACGATGTCAATTTCATGGTTTTGACAAATGTACCGTGGTTATGTAAGATGTCAACCGGGAGAACTGAGTACAGAAGGCACAGGAAGTTACTGTCTTTATAGCTTTTCTGTAAATTAAAAATTGTTCCCCAAATTTTAACAAGGTATTAAATTAATGAAAAATTCAGCTCCTTGGACATACCAGCCCCATTCAAGTACTCAAGAGCCACACATGGCTAGTGGCTACCATATTGGAAGGCACAGAGAAAGAATGCTTATACTGTCACAGAGGGTTCTACTGGACAACACTGCCCTGTACTGTCTTCATTCTACCCAATGACTCATACATGAAACTCCCAGCATCTCCCTTTTCACTCATTTTCTTTCTCTTTGCCTGTTACTATTTCTCTCTACAAATCAGTATTTCCACACTGCACGTTAAGCCCAGCCCAAAGAGGACTTTCAATATTTGCAGCAGTTACTGAATGGCGTCTTAGGTGTTCTGTTTTGGTTTAAAGTTTATTTCTTACTCATGCGGGTCTCACCCAGAAAGCCTGGCATTAAACACCTCTAGTAAAGCTACTGAATAAACACAGCTTCCATAACTCTGGTGATATTAAAGGATGGAATGCAGGCAAAGTCCCCAGCCCAGGTCTGATCCTAAGTAGCACCCAACATTCAAAGACTGGAGTCTAGTTTGTGCGGGGGTGGGGAAGGGGGGGGTTGGGGGAGGACTCTAGGCATGTTTCTAGAACTCTCTTCCCAGTTGGCAACCTGGCTGCCTCTGCTTACCAGTATCCAACAAACCTGCACTAATAAGAATGAACCAGCTCTGTGGGTGGCCCTTCAAACTCTCTCTAGAAGTTAACAAAGCTACAACACAAAAGTAAAGCTGGCTGGGCATGGCGGCTCATGCCTGTAACCCCAGCACTTTGGGAGGCTGAGGCTGGAGGATCACTGGATTCTGAGTTTGAAACCAGCCTGGGCAATATAGTGGGATCTTGTCTCTATGAAAAATTCTTTAAAAATTAGCTGGGCAAGGTGGCATGTGCCTATAGTCCCAATTAATCGGGAGGCTGAGGTGAGAGAATCCCTCGAGCCCAGGAGGTCAAGGCTGCAGTGAGCCATGATCACACCACTGCACTCCAGCCTGGGCAACAGAGCAAGACCCCACCTCAAACAAACAAAATAATCCAAAAGCATGCATGGATGGGCAGGGCCTCGTTTTATCTCTCTCCAGGCCCTCAAGTTTATGAATGGGGAAAATGAGGCCTGGCAAGGAGAAACATGCCCAAGGCCCCAGTTTAACATTTGTAATTTCACAAATCTAGGATGCCAGTGATTGAGGCCAGCAGTGGCTCATGTCTGTAATTTGGGTAATTTTGGGAGGATCACTTGAGACCAGGAGTTCAAAACCAGTCTGAGCAATATGGCAAAACACTGTTTCTACAGAAAAAAATAATAATAAGAAGAAGAAAATAAAATAAGAAAATTAGCGGGGTGTGGTGGCACACGCCTGTAGTTCCAGCTACTTGAGAGGCTGAGGCAGGAGGACTGCTTGAGCCCTGGAGGAGGAGGCTGCAGTGAGCTATGATCATGACACTGTATTCCAGCCTGAGTAACAGAGCAAGACCATGTCTCTAATAAACTAGTATATACTATTGATTGTAAGATGCATCTGACTTCCAAGATATTAATATGTCAGGGGAAAATGTATGTCTCAGAATCAATGACACAGGACTCTTCATGCTGACGTAGGGAGCTGCTGCTTCTTGCTTCAATGGGCCATGGTCTGGGAACCCTTGAGCAGCGCTGAACTGAGGCTCTGGGTCACTCTAGAACTGAGCTTCCCCACCTCGGCACTAGTAAACATTTAGGGCCAGGTGATTCTTTGTTGTGAAGACTTGCCTGTGCATTGTGGGATGTTCAGCAGCAGCCCTGGCCTCTACCCACTAAATGCCTGTAGCCCCTCCCCCCGGTGCTGGCAGTCAAAAATATCTCCAGACATTGCCGAATGTCCCCTGGTAGGCAAAACCACCCAAAAGAGGGAGGAAAGCTTAACACATATGTGGTATGTTTCAAACAAAGAAACAAAGCACAAACGAACTGAGTTAAATAGGTTTCTTCATTTCAGGCCTTCCTGCAGTCTTCAGAATGCTAATGTGCCTGTCCTTCTTCATCCTCCTTCATGGAGCACGGATACATCTGGGATCCCAAGGATTCCACCTTAGGAAATACTACCCCAGCACCCTGGGGATGGGGGCAGAGGGGGACAGGAGTTGTCAACACACTCAGTCTAGCCTTGGCCATGCGGGCAATTCTCATCTCTATATCTGACCTTCTCCACCCATCTCCCCACCTTTCTCAGCCCCCTTTAGGGGCCCAGCACACAGTGCAGCGCTGGACAGAGAGAGGCTCTTGATGCACCTGTAGGGTAAAGAAGGGAGCCTGTTAAACCCAGGCCTCTAAGCCAGGGACCGGAGGCAGCTCCTGTGAGCATCCCTTCTGCAGGACAGCCCCCATCAACAGCAGAGAGGACAAGATGCTGCCTGTGGAGGGTCCCAGGAGAGCAGGCTTTGGAGAAGTGACCCCATGACTCAAAGGGCAAGTCTCGACCAGCCTCACCAACGGGGCAGGCTGCGAGTCACACGTGCTGTCTCTACACATCCGAGCCTCCCTCTGCCGGCCTCCCTGTCCTGTCCTCCTTCACCGACCACTCTGGCTGGAAAAGACAGCTGGGTTACCTTTTTAGTGTCTGGCTGGCCTGGAGCCAGCCAGGAAAAAGGACACACCTTGCGTCATTCGCACTGGCATTTTGATTGTTTTAAAAAAAAAAAAAAACACAAGAACAACATTGAAAGAGAAGCCAGTGGGCTCAGAACTGCCTGCTGTCACACGGCAGCTACAGTACGAACGGGCCCATTTCTGGGGACTTGGTCTGAGATGGCAGCACTCACTGTCTCCCTAGGAAATCCGTCACAGCTGCCCCATGTCCCTCCCACACAGGGGGTTCCTTTCTTATTTTTTTAAAAATTTAATAATATAAATATAAATAAAGTGCTTTTGAAAACCTAAAATAATTTTTGATAGAAAACACCCACCTTCCTATCACCTCTCCCACGCCTCAGCTGATTTTCTAGAGGTAATATTTTCCCATCTTTTCCAGTTTTGAGCTCTTCTGCTGGCAACTGTCATATGCCTAAGCAATATGCTTTGAATGTGCACTTTCATGTCTTCAGGTCTCAATGCTAGACAATATCCAAAGACTCCCTGCTCTGAAAGGTGAGGATCTGGCCACTCGCTTTGCGTCCCACCTCCCTCTTCCGATCCAGTATTCCAGAGTCCTGTGATTACCTTTGGTCCTTCCTGTGGTTCCCTGTGCTGCTTCAGGTAAACTATTTAGACCAGGGATTACTTTTTCTTCTGAAAACTTTACACAGGCTCTCACCTCCCTTCCACAGAAGCTGAGGATGTCACGCTCAAGGCATTGGAAGATTAAATTCCCAGCCCCAACCACAACTTTGACTTTCATGCTTTGCTGCCAGATTGACTCCTGAAGTCGAAAACCAACAAGTGTGCTCCACACACCATAGGATGGTGGAGACATTGGTGAATTAGTTCAACACGGAAGCCAGGCTCTGCGGACTGAGGATATCACAAAAGAAACAGACAAAGTCCCCACCCTCAGGGAGCTTACAGTCTAGCATGGGAGAGTGAAGGTCAACTAGGAACAGGATGATGGGGACATTAAAATAGCATGCGGCTGAGATCTAAAGTGACTGCATGAGGGCTCAAAATTGAGTGGTCAGGGAAGGCTTCTTGGAGGAGGTGACATTTTTAAAAAGCCACATGAAAGGAGATGTTGTTCTCCCTGCTGATGGGTCCCATAACCTGCCTTCCAGAATCTCAGACCTAGATGTCTCCCAAGAGGCCCCTGAACAAACCTCCCACCTATTATAGGAATGTCCATTTCAGCCAGGCGCGGTGGCTCACACCTTTAATCCCAGCACTTTGAGAGGCCAAAACAGGTGGATCACTTGAGACCAGGAGCTCAAGACCAGCCTGGCCAACATGGCGAAATCCCGTCTCTACTAAAAATACACAAATTAGCCGGGTGTGGTGGTGCGCACCTGCAATCGCAGCTACTCGGGAGGCTGGGGAACAAGAATCCATTGAACCCAGAAGGGGAGGTTGCAGTGAGCCGAGACTGCACCACTGCACTCCAGCCTGGGTGACAGAATGAGACCCTGTCTCAAAAGAGAAACAAACAAACAAACAAAAAAGAACGTCCATCTCAACTGCCTCTGCTTGATTACCTTTGCAGATGGGGAACTCACACCCTCAAAAGGTCTCCCTCACACTGTTTCAGGTGTTTTATTTGAAAGCTGCCTTGTAAACATCTACCTCCTTTTAGCTTCTACTCCGTGATGTCCACAAGAGCCACATAGGGTGGTTCTGTCCACACTTCAGGTCTTCCTGCCCCTGACAGACAGGAAAGAGCTCTGACACCTCACCTCCCCCAGCCATCTCCTCCCACTAAGCGCCTGAGGAGGAGTGTGCAGGAGGCCACCAGAGCTGCTGCTGGCACTGCCAGGGAGACACCAACCTGCTTGGCAGCAGGCCTAAGGGACCCTCTCCCAGGCCCAACCCCTCCCTGGGTTTGCTACATCAGCCAGGTTTAAGACCCAGGACCCATCATCTCAGCCTCTCCACTGAATGTGGCATCAGGGCCCTCCCAGTTGCCCCAAAGCAGACAGCGGACATTACCTGTTGGAGGCAGAGAGCTCCTGTGAGAGCCAGGGCTGGCTGGAATCCCAGGAGAACTGCTGGGACGTTCCCAGGTGGTCTCTGGTGAAAGAAGAGCAAAGAAAATCACTTTGAGAATGTCACAGGGCAGAACCTGAGTTTCACAGAGCAGAAGGAGATGCTCAGAGCTGGAGAAAAAGAGAGACAGCCAATCGCCCTCCTCCCCAACCCTGGCCAGACAGGACCCTGCTTTCTGCTCCCATATCCATCCATCTCCCTTCCTGGCCCCTGCCCCCTTCCACCATCCCATGACCACAGAGCTTGTTTTTGCTGGGGGCCCTTCTTGATGAGGCTGGGGCCAGAAGGAGATGGACTTCCTGTTGAGATGTCAAGATCCTCTAAAATATCCTCTGCCCCAACCTGCCTCTTCATTCACCCCTACTTTGTCTCGGGGCTCTGGACTCTTCTCCTGGAACCCTGAAGTTGCCAACCAGGTATTTCTCCCCAAATGTCCACTGTTACCTGAAACTCCAAAGCACAGAGGTGCAGGAGCCTGTAAAGAGACAGGGGCCCTCTGCCACCTGGTGGTGACTTCCAAGTTTCTTCCTGATTTCGCAGTTCTAAGTCTCATTTGAGCTGTAACTGCTGAATTTGCCTGGTCACCTCTCTCTCTTCCAATGCCCTGCTACAGGCTCTAATCAGAAATAAAACTGGCCGGGCACAGTGGCTCACAACTGTAATCCCAGCACTTTGGGAGGCCTAGGTGGGCAGATCACTTGAGGTCAGGAGTTCGAGACCGGCCTGGCCAACATGGTGAAACCCTGTCTCTACTAAAAACACAAAAATTAGCCAGGCGTGGTGGCACGTGCCTGTGATCCCAGCTACTCAGGAGGCTGAGGCAGGAGAACCCTTGAACCTGGGAGGCAGAGGTTGCAGTGAGCCGAGATTGTGCCACTGCACTCCAGCCTGGGAGACAGAATGAGACTCTGCCTCAAAAAAAAAGAAAGAAAGAAAGGAAAGAAAGGAAAGAAAGGAAAGAAAGGAAAGAAAGAAAGAAAGAAAGAAAGAAAGAAAGAAAGAAAGAAAGCAAAGAAAGCAAAGAAAGAGAGAAAACTAATACTGCAAGCTATAGTATTGTCCCCCAAACACTACTTTACCCATTTCACTGCCATGAGCAGAGACTTCTTATGAAGTTATCTAGTGATAAAAATAATACTTTCTCACTACATACAATTTGATAATGCAGGAAAACACACAAAAATAAATATCACCCATCATCCCACCATTCAGAGGTCATCACCATCAACATTTTGGTATCCATATGTTGATTTGTTTTCTAAGCATATGTTTCTCTTTAAAATGAGACAAAATCAAACTATAGATTCTTTTTATGTATAAATTTTTGTGAATACCTTTCCAAAATCTGTCCAGGCACAGTGGTTCATGCGTCTTATCTCAATACTTTTGGGAGGCTGAGGTGGGTGAATTGCTTAAACTCAGGAGTTTGAGACCAGCCTGGGCAAGATGGTGAAACCCCATCTCCACCAAAAATACAAAAATTAGCCAGGTGTGGTAGCACGTGCCTGTGGTCCCAGCTACTCAGGAGGCTGAGCTGGGAGGATTACTGGAGCCTGGGAAGTCGAGGCTGCAGTGAGCCATGATGGCGCCACTACACTCCAGCCTGGGTGACAGAGCAAGACCCTGTCTCAAAAAATGAAAATAGGCCGGGCGCGGTGGCTCATGTCTGTAATCCCAGCAATTTGGGAGGCCGAGGCGGGTGGATCACTTGAGGTCAGGGGTTCGAGACCACCCTGACCAACATGGTGAAACCCGATCTCCACTAAAAATAACAAAAATTAGCTGGGCGCGATGGTGTGTGCCTGTAATCCAGCTACTCAGGAGGCTGAAGCACGAGAATCGCTTGGTCCTGGGAGGTGGAGGTTGCAGTGAGCTGAGACCATGCCACTGCACTCCAGCCTGGGTGACAGAGTGAGACTCCATCTCAAAAATAAATAAACAAATAAAATAAAAATAAATTTTAAAAACTTTCCAAAATCACTGAAGGGGGCGGTATAGCAAAGTAGTTAGGCTCTGTTTAGTGTGGTGATTCTAGACCCAGACTGCCTGGGTTGGAATCCAGCTCTGCCTCTCACCACCACTATCCTTGGCCAAGCTACTTATTCTCTGTGACTCCCTTTCCTCCTATGTAAAATGAGTTCAATAAGGTGTCCACCCAAGGGAGATACTGTACCAATACCAAAGGCCCACATACATGCCTCTAGCGCTAAGTCATTTTTAAAGTTAGTCTGATATGAGGATATAACATTATTTAGTTAAAAATTCCATTACTGAAAATTCAATTGTTTCAAACAATAAAAACAAAACTGGGTTCTTGACTCAACTTTGCTCCTAAACTACCGTGCAGCCCTAGGCAAATCGCACCACCCTTCTGGTCCTCTGATGCTTCATCCAAAATAAAGAGGTTCGGCTACTTGGTCTCGTAGGCCCCAATACTCCCGCTCTCTAGGTGTGATTGGTGGTCTCAAGGCCCATGGTTTGGGTTTCAGGAAGGGTGAACCTGGACTCCAGGGGCAGGCATAACAGGGGTAATATGGTCCCTTCATGTCTTAAGGGAGAGAAAACAGAATTGAGGGTGATCTGGAAAGCAGAGACGGTGTGAACATAAACCAGACAGTAGTAGGGTCTTTTATGAGGAGTGACAAGGAGAGAGGCTGCCAGCAGGCTTAGGAGCTTCTCCAAGGGACCCACTGGCTGGCAAGAGCAGGAAGCCTTGGAGAACTTACTTCAAAGACCACTGCCCTGCTTAGGGCCCACGTCATAAGCCATTCATACGCTGAGTGACCTCTGGAATCATCTGAACTCTATATTCTGTTTTTCTCAACTATAAAATGGGGATGAAAATGGTACCTAAGTAGGCTGGGAAAGAGCATTAATTGGGTTCACCTGTACAAAGCACTTAGGATAACATCGGGCACATGGTATGTGCTTTCTCAGCACTAAATAAAACAGACAGACAAGCCCGGTGGAGCTTCGATGAGCAAAAGCAGCGAGGTGGGCATCCCCAGGAGCAGATGCACCATCCAGCCTCAGGCTCCTTCCTAGGCAGGCTTCTCTTCTCTCCTGCCCGTTGAATCAGCCCTGCCTGGAGGCCGCACTGTTGCCTTCACATCCACAGAGTCAAGACCGGGCTCCCCTCTCCACCCTCTCCTCCGAGTCTCCTGGGTTCCCTGGCCCCTGGACAACCAGGGACAGGGCTCACTCACCATCACCAGCTCCACCCTATGTCCCATCCCTCATATCTAATTGGTTCCCAGGGCCTGGAGATGCCCCTCCATCACGTTCCTCTTGTCTTCTCCATGTCACTCCAGAGCCAGTCTCCCTGCCTTTTGAAATCCGTCCACTCACAGCTAGTGGACCACTCACCCTAGAGCCCAGCTTTCGCCGGAGGTCACTTCACAGCGAAAATCCCTGGCTAGCTCCTTTCCAACATGGCACACGGAATCAATTCCGAAGTCCACTGGCCTCCTGGCAAAGTGCTCCAGGATCCCAACCCTGACTGCATCCAGACTGACATCCCACTGGCTTCACTTCAGGCCCAGTTAACTTGCCTCGCCGATCTCTAAATACGCCTTTCCCGTATTGTTCACCCATACCTGCCGCCTCCTGCTCCCCCATCCCTGGATATCACAACCTTGTTCACTCATCAAGTCTCAACTAAAATGTCTCTTCCACCATGCAGCCTATCAAGATTGCTCTTCTTCCCTGCAAAGAGTTCTTCCCCAGACTCTCTAGAGTGGGTGCTGTAGTGCACCACCCAAATCTCTCTAGCTGCAGAGGCTCATAGCTGAGTCCCTCTCAGGGAACCGCCCTTAGCCAAAGAGAGCTGCCGTGCCCAAGGCTATGCCTAGAGTAGGGGTGCAGGGTGCACATCTAATGACTGGGGTGAGAGGGGATCAACGGCCCACCAATCCCCTTGTCTCAAATCAAACAATTCTGAAGGCCCCTCCCAGCTCAGAGCTCCCCACGGCGCTGCCGAGGCCTCCTTGGTGGCCGCATTGCAATGCTGCTTCCTTCCTTCCCCGGGGGTTGCTCCCAGGAGCACACACCCTACTGAAACTCCTGCATGTAAATCTGCCTCAAGTCTTCTTGAGAACCTGACCTAAGTCCTGCAACACACACATTCCATCCAGCTTTTTTCTAGGAAATCAGCACTTTGTCCATCCCTCAGACAGCTCAGATCCTAACCTTGACACCTTATCTCCTTGAGGGTCGAAGCCACGGCTGGTTCGCCCTCTCAAATACGGCACCTGGCCTGAAGGATGCAAGGACAGATGGGCCAACAGAAAGACGGACATTGTGACAGCACAAGAGAGATTCCCACCTGATGTGCTCTCCAGGAATAAACAGCAGGGAAAAGGTCCCAGAAAACTTTCCCTTTGTGCTGCTGCCACCACCCCTTTGGTGGCTGACACCATTGACCTTATTTTAAAAGGAAGTCCCACCAGCTGATGTGCAGACACCACCTTTGATCTTCTGGTTGGGGCAGAGGGTCACAATTCATGCACTGACTACTCCTTCCATCCTTGCACCCATTCATCCATCACTGTTTGCCTACTACCTGCGAGCCATCACCAACCACTGCGGACCCAAAATAACATCTGGACTATTGAACAGAGAAGCTGCTGGTCCCCGTTCCTCTCCCCATCCCCCATCCTTGAGCCCTCCATGAAGGGAACTACCAGTACAGAGGCAATCAGAACAGCAGCCAGCAGCTCCGGGGGCTGCAGGAGGCTCTGAAACCCTAGGTGGACGCTGGCCTGCAGTCTGAATGCTGCTGTCCATGTGGGGACCCGATGGGAGGCCCCTTTCCCTGCCCTCACTGGCCTGGTCAACTCCCAGACCCCCCACAAGCTAGAGTCTCCGTAAGTACCATATCCCTCCCCTCTAACCTCCAAATGGGCCCCATCAGGGACGATGCAGCTGCCTGAAGGATTCAGCCCAGTCCATCTCCTTGTCTTGGCGAGATCTGACCAACCCATAACACAAAGACACTGTGAGCCTGGGGCAGGGATGGTGCTGAGCCAGGCCAGGCCAGGCCAGGCAGACATCTGGAGAGAGCCACTGGGGCTCTGGCTGGGTGACCTCACCAGCAGCAGGACAAGTCACCCCAGAGGACCATACTACCCACAGGGAGGAAGCCGTGTCCAGGTCTTTTCCAATACAAGATTCCCTAATCTGCTTACAACACATCTGGCTCCTTGACCAAGTCACAGTAAGACTGAAGCGGCAGCTCCAGGCCTCAAGAGATGCTGGATTGAGACCCTTCTGCATTCTCTGGACGTCCATCCCTGTGGTCTTAGGTCATCCCGGATGACTGCCCACACTCTACTAACAGAGCCATGGCCACACAGGCCCCAGAGGTTCTAGGAGGAACAGTGCGGTCAGAGTGGAAGAAGTGAGATGTGCCCCGGGGAGCCTCTTCCCACCCCACCTAATTCACACAAAACACATATTTTCCTAGTGGTAACTAGAACTCCATTCAGACCTCTTCCGCTGAGACCCAGAGAGCCATATACTGGCCATGGATGAAACCAGTCTAAGGGAGGTACTATTTTAGCATTAATGCTAAGAGCCAAAGATGTTAATCTTCTCCTCAGCGAATGCCAGTGTCTACCCCACATAGAATAAAACTTATAAAGACAGCTGGGCACAGTGGCACACGCCTGTAGTCCCAGCTACTTGGGAGGCTGATGCAATAGGATCCAGGAGTTCAAGTCCAGCCTGGACAACACAGCAAGACCCTATCTCTATAAATGAATAAATGAATGGATGAGTGAGTGAATGAATAATTTGTAAAGTGAGAGACCAGTTGAAAGCTTGAAGACTATGTAAATCTGAGTTTCAAAGCACAGATGCCCCTTCTTCAAAATAATAATAATAAATTTTAAAAACAGTGAGCTAGGCGGAAGTTATTAATTTTAAATAGTCACTTCCGGGCTTCATTTCCCCTTGTTAAGGCTGCATCCTGCCTGCATTAGCAATATTGGGCTCCAGTGGGAAAGCCACAAGGAGCCCCTGGACCTAAGCCACTGGTTATGGTGACTGGCCATGGGCCCACCTACAAGCCTCTGGCCCCCAGTGGCCTCCTGCTGGGGCTCGTCCACTTTTCTTGGCTTGTGCCGGCTCTCTGCTGCCCCCTGTGGTTATCAGGTAAAATAACCACAGATACCAGAGCAGAAGGAAATGGACTCTGGGGTCTTGACTTTGATCTGAGATTCCTGCAGTCTTCTCCTCTTTGCCTCTCTTTATACTCACCCTTCTGTGCTACTTGCTCTATCTCCTCCTCCCCCACCACCAAATTTTCTTTCTTCCTTGCCCTGGTTTGGCGGTCTCTCTACCCATGGCTTCTCTCCTTGCCCTGTAGTCCTCACAAGGAGGGTCTGCCTAGCTATGGCCAGGTTTTTCTAGTCAGATGGCAGCCCTGCCACTCCGTTTCTCAGCCCTTCTCCCTTCCTACCCAGAAGCTGGCTTGCCCCCAGGCTATGCTGCCCTGTCCTCCAAGCGAGCCCCATTGCCTTGGTCCAGGCAGATGCAGAATTTGCAATCAGGCCACATTCTCCTGGAGGCCCCTGCTTATCTCCCTTGGCCAATACAAAAGCAGCAGTTCACAGAGACCTGGTTCCCTCCTGCGCACCAGAGTTTCCTCCATCTCTGGTTTTTCAATGCCTTCCAGTACAGCCATTGCTACAAGACATTTGAAATTCCCTCTTAAAAGTAAATGGCTGAGGCAGGAGAATTGCTTGAAGCCAGGAGGCGGAGGTTGTGGTGAGCAGAGATCGCGTCGTTGCACTCCAGCCTGGGTGACAGAGCAAGACTCCATCTCGAAAAAAAAAATTAAATGATATTTAAATCACAACCACAGTTTCTCTGCAGGAAAGAAACTACTCTCTGAAGAACCATTTACGCCTGGTCACGCCAAGCCCCTCCACATCTGGCATCCCCTTCAGCGGTCACAAAACACCTATGAGATAGGTGCTGTCATTTCCTTTTTTTTTTTTTTTTTGAGACGGAGTCTCGCTCTGTTGCCCAGACCGGAGTACAGTGGCGCGATATCAGCTCACTGCAAGCTCCGCCTCCCAGGTTCCCGCCATTCTCCTGCCTCAGCCTCCTGAAGAGCTGGGACTACAGGAGCCTGCCACCACGCCCGGCTAATTTTTTTGTATTTTTAGTAGAGACAGGGTTTCACCGTGTTAGCCAGGATGGTCTCGATCTCCTGACCTCATGATCCGTCTGTCTCAGCCTCCCAAAGTGCTGGGACTACGCGCCCGGCCCATTTCCACTTTTAATGGAAGGAACTGAGGCCTCAGTGAGAAGTGGCATCTCTGGAACTCAGTCTGACAACAAAGACCACCATTTTCTGGCCACACTCACCGTGTCTGAGCTCTAGGCTGGGACTCTGGGAGCTGCAGCAAAACAGTGTATTTTAATCTATAAACAACCCTTTATTTGAGAATCATCCTCAATATGAATATTATTATTATTCATTCAACACATATTTGAGGGCCTATTCTGTGTCAGGCACTGTGCTGGACACGGGGTTATATTGCAGGAAATATAAGTGGTTAAACTCCTCCTCCTTCAGCTTAAATTCTAGTGGTCATTATGCCATTCCATCTTTAGTTAATTTTAGACACATGCACATGTGTATAAAATGTGTATGTGTATAAAATTTTCCATAAGTGAAAACTTAAAAATTTTCTAATGGGATTGGGGGAGGGAGTTGTGCCAGGAGACAAAAAATAAGCAAAACATATCAGGTTAGCTCTTGGTACACACTAAGGAGAATAAAGCAAGGAAGGGGGATAGAAAGTGTTATGAGAACGAAGCTGTAATTTAAGAATGGCCAGGGAAGGCCTCACCAAGAAAGGAACACAGAATGAAGATCTGAGAGAAATGTATTATGTATCTATTGTTACATCGCAAATTACCCCCAATTTAACAGTTGGAAACATCAAACATTCATTATTTCATATTGTTTTAGCACATCAGGAATCAGAGAGTGGCTTAGCTGGGCAATTGTGCCTCAGGTTCCCCCATGAGCTTGGGGTCAGGAAGTCAGTGGGTGCTGCCTCATTTGAAGGCTTGACTGGGGCTGGAGGAGCTACTTGTAAGAAAGCTCACCCTGGCCGGGCATGGTGGCTCACGCCTGTAATCCCAGCACTTTGGGAGGCAGAGGTGGACGGATCATGAGGTCAGGAGATCAAGACCATCCTGGCTAACACGGTGAAACCCCATCTCTACTAAAAATACAAAAAATTAGCCGGGCGTGGTGGCAGGCACCTGTAGTCCCAGCTCCTGGGGAGGCTGAGGCAGGAGAATGGCATGAACCCGGGAGGCAGAGCTTGCAGTGAGCCGAGATCGCACCGCTGCACTTCAGCCTGGGCGACAGAGCGAGACTCCATCTCAAAAAAAAAAGAAAAAAGAAGAAAGCTCGCCCTACGGATGCTGGCAGGAGCCAAAGTTCCTTGCCACGGGCTCTGCACAATATGGCTGCTGACTTCGCCCAGAGCGAGCGAGCCAGGGGAAAGCAAGGCAAAGGGTACAATGTCTGTTACAACCTAGTCTCAAAAGTGACACTCCATCATGACTGCCACAATCTATTAGTCTCAGGGACCACCCAGGAGGGAAGGTAGAAAGGGATGACACAGGAGTGTATCAGGAGGTGAGTGTGTTGGGGGCCATCTTGGAAGGCTCCTATCACAGAGGGAAGGAGCAAGCCACACACATATCTGAGGGAAGAGAATCCCAAATGAAGGGAACATAAAATAAAAATGTTCTGAGGCAGAAGCATGTCCTTCATCATAGAGAGCAGCAAGGAGGATAGTGTGGCTGAAGAGGAATTGTGGGGAAGGGAAAATAGAAGATGAGTTCAGAGGTAATGGGGGCCAGATTGGATCATCCAGGGCAGTAGTTCTCAAAGTATGGTTCCCGGACCAGCAACATCAGCATTATCTGGAACCTGCTGGGTGCCCTCTGGGTGATTGTGGTATACTCTAAGGTCTGAGAATCCGTTATTAAGAGCTCTGGCGCTGGCATCTTACAGACAGATGTTCAAAAATCCCAGATCTATTCCTTTTAACAAGGACCATGTTATTTGGCCTCGGTTTCCCTGTTGTAAAGTACGGGATAGCAGTATAGGGGTCCCAGCTTCCTGGTGTTGAGGACAGGACTCAGTGAGGTACATACAGCTCTTAGCACAGTTTCTGACACAGAGTAAGCACTCACAGACACTAAGAACAACAATAAGACAAAACAAAAAACTAAAACCACCTCCATTCCTTCCTTCCTCTTCTTTGCTTCCCAACTTCTACCCCAGAAGCTGGATCCCTGCCTCACCCCTCCTTTTGATGCCTACAAGGAGCACATCTCCCAAAAGAGGGGTGCTAGGGGTGAAGGGGGGCTAGAATGCCTTCTTTAGCATTGCTGCAGTGTCAGGCTATCCCTTAGTTAACCAGGGAAACATCACTATGAGTGGTCCCCAACTTCCCACTCACAGCTGCTTACAAAATTCTTAGGGCAGCCCTACAATCTTGGTGGGGAGCAGGGGCTCCTGTGCCCATTTCACAGATGATACAGAAACTGTGTTACTGATGGGATGAAGCAGAGGCCCCGTCAGTGTCCTGGCCCTTTGATATTTGCCAGAACCAAGCTCTGGTCTGGCTCCAGCCTGCACAGAGGGCCTGTGAAAGAGCAGGGCCAGGAATCCAGGAATAGCCAAGGAATTCGAAGGGTCGCAGGGAGTAGGGGGTGCTGCCTGGAGCTGTCCAAGCCTGTCTCTCAATCCCCATTAGGATCCCTGATCTACCAGCCTCCTTACAGAGCGTAGACCCGTGCAAACACACCGGGAATCTGTGAGCATTTAAAAGACGATCACTGACCCAAACTTGGGTTGAAGGGCAAGGAAGGTTGACTGCAATGTTGGAGAAATATGTCTTGTCACCGAGACAACAGGTGCTGGTAACCCACTGCCAGCTCACGCATATGACTCCCATCTTATGGTTGAGAAACTGAGAAGACACCTTATCGAATCCAAAGCCTGGATGCTCCAGATCCAGAACCTAAGCACAGGTGTTTGGCAAAGCTCTGGTCTCATTTCCCAATCCAGTTACTCACCAGAACTACTGGAGCCACTTGTTAGAAATACTGGTGCCCAGACCTCACACCTGGAGCTTCTGGTTGAGTAGGCTGGGAGGAACTCAACTCATCATTTTTATCAAGCGATCTCAGTGACTAACCACATGTCGGGAAAACTAGTATAGTCCATAGCAGGACGGTCACGGAACCCAGCCAAGGATCAGGAGGTACCTGGGCCCAGACAAAAGCCCCAGGGAGTGGGTTAGACTTAGGATCAGGCAAGGTACATGGTAGCAATGTAGAGTAATTTAAGGAACCCCCCAGATGTTACCCCAACCTTCTAAGAGCCGCGGCTTTGACATGGGTCTTTGCTACCTACTTGAGTTCCCAGGGGTGCTATATGAATTAGAAGAGATTGCCACAAACCCATGAGCATGACTGAGTCCTCAGAGTCTTTCTAGAATAGGTGAAGATGAGGAGAAAGGAGAAGGCACAAAAGCAGTGAGTGCTGCAGTGAGGGAAGCCCGGAGGGAAAAGGTTCCGGGGAGAAGGTTCCAGTGTGTGGGCACAGGCAGCAGGAGTCGGGGAGGTGTTTCTAGCAGGGCCTGGCCTCCTTCCCAAAGTCTTTTTTTTTTTATTGTAATTTTATTTATTTTTTTTAATTAATTAATTTATTATTATTATACTTTAAGTTTTAGGGTACATGTGCACAATGTGCAGGTTAGTTACATATGTATACATGTGCCATGCTGGTGCACTGCACCCACCAACTCATCATCTAGCATTAGGTATATCTCCCAATGCTATCCCTCCCCCCTCCCCCAACCCCACAACAGTCCCCAGAGTGTGATGTTCCCCTTCCTGTGTCCCTGTGTTCTCATTGTTCAATTCCCACCTATGAGTGAGAATATGCGGTGTTTGGTTTTTTGTCCTTGCGATAGTTTACTGAGAATGATGATTTCCAGTTTCATCCATGTCCCTACAAAGGACATGAACTCATCATTTTTTATGGCTGCATAGTATTCCATGGTGTATATGTGCCACATTTTCTTAATCCAATCTATCATTGTTGGACATTTGGGTTGGTTCCAAGTCTTTGCTATTGTGAATAATGCCGCAATAAACATACATGTGCATCTGTCTTTATAGCAGCATGATTTATAGTCCTTTGGGTATATACCCAGTAATGGGATGGCTGGGTCAAATGGTATTTCTAGTTCTAGATCCCTGAGGAATCGCCACACTGACTTCCACAATGGTTGAACTAGTTTACAGTCCCACCAACAGTGTAAAAGTGTTCCTATTTCTCCACATCCTCTCCAGCACCTGTTGTTTCCTGACTTTCTAATGATTGCCATTCTAACTGGTGTGAGATGGTATCTCATTGTGGTTTTGATTTGCATTTCTCTGATGGCCAGTGATGGTGAACATTTTTTCATGTGTTTTTTGGCTGCATAAATGTCTTCTTTTGAGAAGTGTCTGTTCATGTCCTTTGCCCACTTTTTGATGGATGCAGAAAAGGCCTTTGACAAAATTCAACAACCCTTCATGCTAGAAACCCTCAATAAATTAGGTATTGATGGGACGTATTTCAAAATAATAAGAGCTATCTATGACAAACCCACAGCCAATATCATGCTGAATGGGCAAAAACTGGAAGCATTCCCTTTGAAAACTGGCACAAGACAGGGATGCCCTCTCTCACCACTCCTATTCAACATAGTGTTGGAAGTTCTGGCCAGGGCAATTAGGCAGGAGAAGGAAATAAAGGGTATTCAATTAGGAAAAGAGGAAGTCAAATTGTCCCTGTTTGCAGACGACATGATTGTATATCTAGAAAACCCCATTGTCTCAGCCCAAAATCTCCTTAGGCTGATAAGCAACTTCAGCAAAGTCTCAGGATACAAAATCAATGTACAAAAATCACAAGCATTCTTATACACCAATAACAGACAAACAGAGAGCCAAATTATGAATGAACTCCCACTCACAATTGCTTCAAAGAGAATAAAATACCTAGGAATCCAACTTACAAGGGATGTGAAGGACCTCTTCAAGGAGAACTACAAACCACTGCTCAAGGAAATAAAAGAGGATACAAACAAATGGAAGAACATTCCATGCTCATGGGTAGGAAGAATCAATATCGTGAAAATGGCCATACTGCCCAAGGTAATTTACAGATTCAATGCCATCCCCATCAAGCTACCAATGCCTTTCTTCACAGAATTGGAAAAAACTACTTTAAAGTTCATATGGAACCAAAAAAGAGCCCACATCGCCAAGTCAATCCTAAGCCAAAAGAACAAAGCTGGAGGCATCACGCTACCTGACTTCAAACTATACTATAAGGCTACAGTAACCAAAACAGCATGGTACTGGTACCAAAACAGAGATATAGATCAATGGAACAGAACAGAGCCCTCAGAAATAACGCCGCATATCTACAACTACCTGATCTTTGACAAACCTGAGAAAAACAAGCATTGGGGAAAGGATTCCCTATTTAATAAATGGTGCTGGGAAAACTGGCTAGCCATATGTAGAAAGCTGAAACTGGATCCCTTCCTTACACCTTATACAAAAATCAATTCAAGATGGATTAAAGACTTAAACGTTAGACCTAAAACCATAAAAACCCTAGAAGAAAACCTAGGCATTACCATTCAGGACATAGGCATGGGCAAGGACTTCAGGTCTAAAACACCAAAAGCAATGGCAACAAAAGCCAAAATTGACAAATGGGATCTAATTAAACTAAAGAGCTTCTGCACAGCAAAAGACTACCATCAGAGTGAACAGGCAACCTACAAAATGGGAGAAAATTTTCACAACCTACTCACCTGACAAAGGGCTAATATCCAGAATCTACAATGAACTCAAACAAATTTACAAGAAAAAAAACAAACAACCCCTTCCCAAAGTCTTATCTTAAGCCCCTGAGGGCCAAGTCCTGAGTTAGAGGGCAGGAAAGACAAGTTTCAAGCAATCCTGTTCCCAGGTGTTTGGAGCTGACAGGGAAAGTGAGGCAGCCAGCTATTCTCACCGTGACGTGGCAACGGAAGAGTCCAGGTGGCCTAACAGTCCAGTCCCTGTGCTCCTTGTCAATTCATTCAGACTTTCTGAGCACTGGGGAGCAGCAGGGGGGCTCACAGTATCGTCTCTGCCCTAGGGAGCTAACAGGCTGGCTGGAAGAAGAATCTCTTTCTGCCTCAGCTACATCCCCTGCTTTCATACCTATCCCTCCCACCAGATGTATTCTGAGGGTTGTGACTGTATTGAATAAATGTGGACCTGTCTCCTGGGCACCAAGGACACTCAGTAATTGATAAATGAAGGAAGACTCAGCTCAAATCAACTATTAGAATTATGTTCAGTAACATGGCTGATGGCTGATTTTTAAAGATACATGTGTATATGCATGTAGATAAAAAGAAAGATAAAGAGACGAGGGAAAGACCAAGAAGGGGGCCAGGGAGACAGATAAAGCCTCTATTCCCTTTGTGTGGTATGAACTACCTATCAGTGAGCAGCCCAGTTTAAAAAGAGCAAAGAACATATACAGGTGATTTACAGAAAAAACAATTGCAAATGATCAATAACAAAAAAAAAAAAAAAAGATACTCATTCTCATTCAAAATTGGAGAAATACAAGTTAAGACTGTAAGATACTATGTTTTCACCCATGGGGAAAATAACCTCCTTTGTGACTGATAACCCCTATCTAACCAGGATCTGCAAAAACAGGTGAGAATGCCTGTCTGTGAAAGGTAATTTGGAGATATCCATCAAAAGCCCAAATGCACGTGTCTTTTGACCTAACAATAGCTTTAGGTGTGCAATAATGTAAGTATGAAGGTATTTTGTGGAGCACTTTTCATTAGAGGGAAAAGACTCTTGGGAAGTGACCTAAATGTTCACCAACAGGGGACAATGATGTATCGACAGGGTGGCATCCTGTGGAGCTGCTGAAGTGCATGAGTGCTGGAGTGAAAGGCTCCAAAACACACTACGTGTACAAAAGGTTCTCACTTTAACAAAAGGGCATAAATAAAATGTCTGTGCTTGTATATGCAAGGCAAATGTGCCGAAAGAATACACATGAAGCATTTGATGCTGGTTCTTTCTTAAAAATGAAACCAAAGTAAGAAGACTATAACCATGCTGCTATAAAGACACATGCACACGTACGTTTATTGTGGCACTATTCACAATAGCAAAGACTTGGAACCAAGTCAAATGTCCAATGATAGACTGGATTAAGAAAATGTGGCACATATACACCATGGAATACTATGCAGCCATAAAAAAGGATGAGTTCATGTCCTTTGTAGGGACATGGATGAAGCTGGAAACCATCATTCTCAGCAAACTATTGCAAGGACAGAAAACCAAACACCACATGTTCTCACTCATAGGTGGGAATTGAACAATGAGAACACAGGGACACAGGAAGGGGAACATCACACACCCGGGCCTGTTGTGGGGTGGGGGGAGGGGGCAGGGATACCATTAGGAGATATGCCTAATGTTAAATGACGATTTAATGGGTGCAGCACACCAACATGGCACATGTATACATATGTAACTAACCTGTGCACATGTACCCTAAAACTTAAAGTATAATTTAAAAAAAAAAAAAAGACTATATATATATGTGTGTGTGTGTGTGTATATATACACACATATATATATATTTTTTATTATTTTTTATTTTTTGAGACAGAGGCTCGCTCTGTCGCCCAGGCTGAAGTACAGTGGCGTGATCTTGGCTCACTGCAACCTCCGCCTCCCAGGTTCAAGCGATTCTCCTGCCTCAGCCTCCTGAGTAGCTGGGATTACAGACATGCGCCACCACACCCAGGTTCATTTTTATATTTTTATTAGAGACAGAGTTTCTCCATGTTGGCCAGGCTGGTCTCGAACTCCTGATCTCAGGTGATCTGCCCACCTCGGCCTCCCAAAGTGCTGGGATTACAGGCATGAGCCACCGCGCCAGGCCAGAAGACTATATTTTTATAGTATATCCCATTTGAATCTATGAGAAATTTCCATGATAGAAAACAGACAAAACTTGGTGTAGGAACAGAGAGACAGACCAAGGGGAAAAAGACCAGAAACAGACTCAGCCAGACTAGTTTAGCGTATGGTAAAGAGGTGCTTCTCAAGGCAATGGTGAAAGGCTGAATCAGTCAATGCTATTTGAACGATGGGAGAACTACTTGAAAAATATTGAGGTAGGTCCCTTTCTCATTCATTTTCAGAAATTAAATTCCATATGGCTTAATATTTTAAAGGGGCCGGGCGGGTGGGGGCGGGGGCGGTGGAAACAGTCCATAAGACTGCTAGAAGAAAATATTACCATCTTTTATTGGTAAAGACCTTTTAAAGTGTGGCCTCAAAGGGCAGAAATCACAAAAGGAAAAGATTGGCATATTTATCTATTAAGTGGAGTTTTAAAAATCACAGTCAGAATAATAAAACATAAAAAATGACAACCATTTGCTACATCTGATAACATAGGAAAAACTAAACTGTTTCTCCTACTCTCTACCCAACATCACTCAACACTTCTGACATCAGGTATATGGGAGTTTTCCCCGCCATACTAGCCAGCAAGTCTCCAGCGGACACAAGCAGAGTGTCCTACAACTTAAATCGATTCTGATACTATCTACCTGGAGATAGCATCAGATCCCACAGGCTGAAGGCTCATTCCCACAAGACTACTCCCCACTTCAGACACCAATCACAAGCAGCAGGTTGTCACCTACACATCTGACAGATAGGCTATAAATCAGGGATTCTGTAACTCCCTCCACGGGTTCGATTCCTTTGCAAAAGCAGCTCACTGAACTCACGGAAACGCTTTACTAACCTTTACCCACTTATTACACAGGCTATGACAAAGGATACAGATGAAGAGGCAGATGGAAGAGATGCACAGGGCCAGGGATGGGGGAAGGGGCACAGGGCTTCCATGCCCTCTCCTGGCACCACTCCCCAGGCTCCATGTGGTCAGTTGACCAGAAGCTCTCTACACCCTGTTTTTCTAGGTTCTTACGGGGGCTTCAGTACATAGACACGATTGATGTCATCACTGGGAATTGATAATCAGCCTCTTTCCTCTCCCCAGAGGTTTGTGGGGTAGGCGCTGAAGTTCCAACCTTCTAAGCATGCCTTGGTCTTTCCTGTGACCAGCTGCCATCCTGAAGCTGCCTAGGGGATCCCAGACACCCATCATCTCATTAGCAAACAAGAGACTAACATTCTGGAGATTCCAAGGTTTATGCCAGGGAGCTGGATGGAAGACCAAATATATATTTCACAATATCCAACTACACATGTTCAAGACTCTTCTCTAAGAACTGCCCAAATCCCAGTTTGGATACACATGCTATGGGCGTGACTACTTGGCTACTGCTACTGGACCTGCCAAGAGTTGTATAGAACAGGACTTGGGGTGGTCCTCTTCCACGATGAGTGGCCACTTCTGCCAAATGGCTGCTGAAGAAGAAAAGGCAAGACTGCGGAGAGAAAGATGCATGAAGAGAACCCAGAGAAAGATCGCGCCCGTGATCCTAGAACTTTGGGAGGCCAAGGTAGGTGTCTTGAGCCCAGGAGCTCGAGACCAGCCTGGGCAATATAGTGAGACCCCTGTCTCTATTTTAAAAAGTGGAAAAGACAGAAAGAAAAAAAGGCAGAAAGACAGAAAGAAGGACAGACAAAGACAGAAAGACAGAAAAGGAAAAGGAAAAGGAAAAGGGAAGGGAAGGGAAGGAAAAGAAGTAGCATCAGACATCACCAGGTCCCACAGTTAGGACAATCAATCTTGGCACCTGATTTTCCCATCCTTACGCCTGCATTCCTGTGAGATGCCCCCATATCCCTCTAATAAATGCCCTTTTTTCATAAGTTAGTATGAGCGGGTTTCTAGTCCTATAACAAGACACTCCCTGCCCAAGGACATCCATCAAAGCACACTGCCCTGTAAATGGCAAACACAGGCCCAGAGGCCATTAGACTGACATCTGGAAAATTCTTCGGTGACCATGTTGAACTGTAGCTTTTTAACAGGCTCCAAGCAGTGCTTCCATAATCTCTCCATGGAAAATCATACCACACAACTGCTTCGAAACTTCTCCCATAAATGGCATTTTTCCGCTTATGCATCAACTTTTTGTTGCTGTTTTCTGAGAAACTCGGCCTTTATTAACTTCAATTGCTCGCATAACTAATCTGTATATAGAAGACTTTCCAGTAAAAGGTGTGACTTTATGTGTATAAATTATGCTAAAGGCCAGGTACGGTGGCTCATGCTTGTGATCCCAGCACTTTGGGAGGCCGAGGCAGGTGGAACACTTGAGGTCAGGAGTTCGACACCAGCCTGGCCAACATGGTGAAACCCCGTCTCTACTAAAAATACAAAAATTAGCTGGGTGTGGTGGTGCATGCCTGTAATCCCACTTACTTGGGAGGCTGAGGCAGGAGAATTGCTTGAACTGGGGAGGCAGAGGTTGCAGTGAGCCGAGATTGTGCCACTGCACTCTACCCTAAGTGACAGGGTAAGACTTTGCCTCAAAAAAAAAAAAATTATGCTCAAAATCACTGAGTATTGCTTTTCACAGGACTTGGGGGAAATAGAAAGAGGTGAGGCTATTCTGGAAAATAGAAATCAGCAATAATCTCTCAGGTGTGGCCACAAAGCCACTTGTAAACTTGCTGGATTCCCAAGGAAGAGGATGGCCATTTAGCCCCACGGCTCCTTCAGGCACACAGAAAAAGTCCTTATCATGAACCAGCACTGTAAAACATGTATAGAAATTCTGGGCAAAAAAAGCTATTCTCAAACGTCAAAAATGGCATTCAGGATAGAGAAGATCACACAAAATGAAGCAGAACTAGGCAGCATCTTATAGTTGAAGGAAATAAGGAAATAAGATTCCTTGGGAAATTGCAGGAGGTTTAAAAACCTCCCTGCAAAGAGGACTGAAAACTTCATCCATGCAGAGGAATGGTAAGATGCTAGGAACAGGGGCAGCCTTAAAGGAGCGCTTCTCAAACGTCAGAGCGCATCAGAATCACTTGAAGGACTGGTTAAAACAGATTGCAGCTGTTAGGCACTGACTAAGACTTGGTCTGTTTCATAGACTTGGTCTGTTTCATACTGAGATGGTCAGTTTCAAGCCAGTCCTATGATGCTGTGTGATATAAGCATCACAGTCCTCTGGAGGCAGCATTAAAATGCAAATTTCTGGGTCTCACCCCTAGAGTTTCTGATTTAGTAGGTCTGGGGTAGGGCCTGAGAAATTGCACATCTAACAAGTTCCCAGGTAACGCTGATGCTGCTGGTCTGGGGACCACACTTCGAGAAACACTGGTCTAGAAGGCAACAAAGGGCAGGGTTTTCTCTGCACCAGGTGCTACCTTTATCCAGGTGTTGGAGGTAGGACCCTTTAAAAGAAAGGCATAAGAATCAAAACAACCCACCAATTACTCTTGACTTGAAAGCACCCTCTGCCTGCACCATTTCCTCCAAACGGGTGGTAATGATGAAAACTACAGAAATGACATCAGGTTGGTCAGAGAGATCTAGGAAAAGAAGAGTGAACGCAACAGGGCAGATTCACTGAGAGTCATGAAATCAGCCAGGTTCCCAGATACTCAGGTCGTCATGAAAGTTCCTTGAGATTTTCATCTCTGTCTCTAAATTCTGCTAGTGAAGAAAGTTCTGCGTTTGCACACCTTGTTATAAGAATCTACTCTTCATACGAAAGAGTGGAGCCAGCTAGGTGGGATCGCAGCATTCAAAAATCACCATGTGCCCCTGGCCCTTTCTGTTCTTCCGCTTCCCAAGGCTTTGCGTCTGCTCTGTCTTCTCCGTACCTTTCTGCAGTGGCACCCATCTACCCAATCAGCACATACCATTTGTATATACCAGGAGCAGAAAGCAAGCGAAGTCTTGGTCTGAGACAAGGAGTCATCATCTCCTTGCCTTCCAGCCTGGCACACTCCTTCTCCAGTGGCAGAGAGCACACGGGCTGGGCATTGTTGGATGCTCCTTGTATCATATAAAAACAAACAAACAAACAAAGCCCTGGGCCTTTTCAGGCTCAGGTTCACGTTCACACAGCTTGGCCCTGGAACAAACCCCTGATGGCCAGAACATAAGACCACTTGTTTAACGTAGCAACACCCCAAAATACAACTAGAAGATTCGAGCAGGAAAGAGGGAAGAGGACACGAATAAAAACAGAAATCTGAGAAAGATCAAGAGAAACAGAGGAGCAAGAGGGTTATGCTAGGGAATGGGAAGCAAAAGAAAGTCTTGGTGCTAAGCTCCAGCCCTCTCCTCTATTTCAGAGAAATTATTTTTATCCTACTTATAAACGTAATACAGGTCCAGGGAAGAAACACTGGAAAACAGAAAAGTAAAAAGAGGAAATAAAACCCTCCCTAATCCCATGCCTTGGAAAGAAGCACTGTGAACAAGCACCTTCTCCCCAACTTGATGAGGTGTCGTCTCACTGCCGGGAGACACCCAGCCAGCAGGAATCGGGGAAAAAAGGGAAGTGGAGGCAGGAGCTGAGCGCTCCCCTGCAGCGGCCATCAGGGTTGTCTCTCAGGGGAAATACAGAGCCTGAAAGGTTTTAAAAACTAGCCCAACTCTCTCTTTTAGAGATGGGGGAATTGCAATTTCAGGATTCTGGAAATGCAAGGAAGAGCTTAACATAACCAGGAAACAGCACAGCTGCAGGCAAGACCTTCAGCCAAGTCCTCTCTGGTATGGTTCAGAGCAGCCAAGAGAAGGATCAAAAGTATTTGGAAATTAATTGTTTTTTAAGTCCCTCTTTTCTGCAGCTTGTACCAAAAAACAAAAACACATAATTTTAAAAAAATCCATCTCTCTTGGAACTGCCACCAAGACAGCTCTTCTAAGCAAGAGCCTGCACCCCACATTCACCGATGGCCTGGCAAGGCAATGGGAAAACAAGCCACCCTTCCTGCTGCTCATGCCACCTGAACCTCATGCCGGGTATTGAAATGTAGGGGACAGATTGCAACCTGTTTACAGCATCCTAGCGGACACGATACCACTGCTTAGCTATCAGTGCTCAAAGATAACCACTAGTGTGGGGCGGGGGAAGTGTGTCAGTTTCCAGGGGGCTGCTATAACAAAATGCCACATTACTGGGTGGCTTAAAGAACAGAAACGTATTGTTACAGTTCTGGAAGCCAGAAATCTGAAATCAAGATACTGGCAGGGTTGGCTCCTTCCAAGAATCTGTCCCAGGCCTCTCTCCTAGCTTGTGGTGGCCTTGGGCATTCCTTGGCTCGTAGATGGCTTTCTCCCTGTGCCTTCGCAGCGTCTTCCCTCCATGAGTGTCTGTCTCTGAGTCCACATTTCCTCCTTGTGATGAGGACCCCAACATATTGGATATAGGTCCACTATACTCCAGGAAGACCACATCTTTTTATTTTTTTAATTATACTTTAAGTTCTAGGGTACATGTGCACAACATGCAGGTTTGTTACATATGTATACATGTGCCATGTTGGTGTGCTGCACCCATTAACTCATCGTTTACATTAGGTATATCTCCTAATGCTATCCCTCCCCCGTCCCCCCATCCCACAACAGGCCCGGGTGTGTGATGTTCCCCTCCCTGTGTCCAAGTGTTCTCATTGTTCAATTCCCACCTATGAGTGAGAACATGCAGTGTTTGGTTTTCTGTCCTTGCGATAGTTTGCTGAGAATGATGGTTTCCAGCTTCATCCATGTCCCTACAAAGGACATGACCTCATCCTTTTTTATGGCTGCATAGTATTCCATGGTGTATATGTGCCACATTTTCTTAATCCAGTCTATCATTGTTAGACATTTGGCTTGGTTCCAAGTCTTTGCTATTGTGAATAGCGCCACAATAAACATACGTGTGCATGTGTCTTTATAGCAGCATGATTCATAATTCTTTGGGTATATACCCAGCAATAGGATGGCTGGGTCAAATGGTATTTCTAGTTCTAGATCCTTGAGGAATTGCCACACTGGAAGACCACATCTTAACTTGATCATTTGCAAAGATCTTATTTCCAAATAAGATCACATTCCCAGGCACTGGCGAATTAGAACTTGGACATCTTTTGTGGGACACAACTCAACCCGTAACATGAAGCAGAAGGCTGGGGCTGGCTGGGGGTGATAGGAGGCTTGGATAGAGGTCCACCTAACACCTGGAAGTTGATCTGGGGATGAGAAAGTCTGGACAAATGAGAAACAGAGGAGCCTGGGGGTTCCGCAGCAGAGACCGCAGGTGTCTGGCATGGCCCAGAGGGGCAGTAAAGAAAGCACAGGATAGCCATACTCCAACCACAGCACAAGTCCATGCAGGTGTTCACCCAAAGCCCATGAGTACAGTAATATTGATTATGAAAACAGTGACATTGTCTGTACCAGTTGGAAAACTGCTTTTGCTCCGACCTTCCCACTCCATATGTCACCAGCCACCAAGGCCCCCCATGGGGTCCCCACAATCTGGCCAAGCTTTCAGAGTGGGAGCAGGACCCTATCCCAACATATTACTCCAATAGTTCATCCCTCTGGCAGACCACTCAATAAATGGCTTGGCTTTCGACTGACCTCACAGAAGCGACTCTTTTGGGGCTGAGGGTATCTTTGGGCACGCAGATAGGCATTAACCACAGCTGGCAAGAGGGCAGAAGCTTCATGCCACAGAAATATCCAGGGTGCCTGCTACCTGCACAGCACGGCGCATCATCTGTCCAAGGATGACAAGACCCTCATGCCATCTCAGTGCCCCTTCTGCTCCCCTTCTGCGCCACTGGGCACAGTGCTCACAGGGAGTGGGCAGGTAGTAAACAACAGCATCCTGCATGACTAACTTCTCACCCCATTTTCCTCCTCCTACACCTCTTGGATGAGTGCTACCTACTTTGGAATCCAACTCAGAATGAAGTAACAAAAAAGCTATTACCCCACTCCAAGGTCTTCCTCCAACAATAACAATCTCATCGATGGGACCTCATGCCAGCTTTGCATAGGGAGGCACCGTCTCAAACACTGGTGGGTGATGAGCTCGTAGGAGTGGCAACTCACAGCCTCGTAGGGTGTTTAGAGGTGGAAAGGACTTTCAGCACAATACTCAGGCAGGAAAGGAAATGAACTCCAACCCAAAGGAAAGTCTCATTTTAACAATCTCATATCCACTTCAGGAAGCATTCTGTCTTTGCAAACAAGAAGCCATTCGCATTGTGTTCGCCCACACCACCCCCGCAAGAAGCCATCCAAGTGGTTAATTAGAGCCCAGCACAGGGAAGGTATTTAGCAAATACTTGTTACTTGATAATCAATTCACATGGTCCTTGCCCACTCACTTATTAGAATATAACCTACAGATCATTTCAATGCATACTAGGAGTTTCACTGACTCGCTGGGACCTAACCCTTTAAAAGCTCACTCTGGTTATGTCCATCCAGACAGATCCTCCCTGTAGCCCAAAACTTCCCGCCGCACCACAGGTTCCCATTCCCACACCCCACCCCACAGGCTCCACACAAGCCCCAGAATGGCAGAGCTTCCTGCGCTAATGTTGGACACACATAAAAGCCCCAGAAAAAAAGGCAGAGTAGGATGGGTTTTAAGATCCCTCTCGAAACTGGTGCTTCATACCTGTTGACTAATAAGTCTGCTCGCCCTAGATTTTTTATTCTCTTGCTTGGTCCCCTTCATAATCTCTCATTTCCAACTTCATTCATAAAATGTCTTCCTAGGCTGGGCACGGTGGCTCGTGCCTCTAATCCCAGCATTTTGGGAGGCCAAGGAGGGCAGATCACGAGGTCAGGAGTTCAAGACCAGCCTGACCAACATGGTGAAATCCTGTCTCTACAAAAAATACAAAAATTAGCCAGGTGTGGTGGCGCATGCCTGTAATCCCAACTACTCAGGAGGCTGAGGCAGGAGAATCGCTTGAACCCGGGAGGCAGAGGTTGCAGTGAGCTGAGATCGCGCCATTGCACTCCAGCCTCGGCGACAGAGCAGGACTTCATCTCTCTCTCTCGCTCTCTCTCTCTATATATACATACATATATATACACATATATGTGTGTATGCACGCATACATGCGTGTGTGCACGCATACATGCATGTGTGTGCGTGTGCACGCATACCAGCATGTGTGCGCGCACGCATGCATGCATGTGTGTGCGCACGCATGCATGTATGTGTATGTGCACGCATGCATGTGTGTGCATGTGCGCGTGTGCATGTATGTGTATGTGCGCGCATGCATGTGTGTGCACACATACATGTATGTATATGTATATACATGCATACATGTATATACACATATATACACACACATATATATATACACACACACACACACACATATATATATATATCTTCCTGACTTTGTGTCTGATGCCACCCTCACCCGCAATACTTGATGTAAAATCACCAGGCACCCTCTTTTCATCGGGCCCAAACTCAGACACCCACAGAACTAAACACGGAAAACACATGCATGAAGCCCAGTTGAGTATTAAAAAAAATGGCAGGTAGTGGTAACCTTCTCAGCCCCAACCAGCTGTGTTCATGCAGGAAGGTGGGGCTGGTGGGGCCACACCTCACGATTTTCTGAAAGAAGATAGATATCCAGATGTTTACGAAAAAAACTCCCAATTTTTCAATGTTGAAAACTAACAACATTTTTAAGCACTGTGTTCACAGAATGGAAGCTTCTGTTGACAGTCTCTAGTCTAATGACAATCCAGCAAGTGACATCTACCCTCCCTGTGTCTTTGCAAGACAGCTCTCCTGGATTCCAGAGGTCCTGACCTTGCCTGCCTGCCACCTCCCTGCCATCCCCAAAACATTATAATGCCATTTCCCTAGGAGTCCAGTAATCACAGACCAGCACTTTTCAAAAAGAGTTCAAATCAAGCAAAAGTCATTCCTGATAGGTACACAATGCACAGTGGACCTGTACTTCCTTTGGCCTGTAATTAACGAGTACTGGTTGATCTAATGACTGGTAGAGATCCTGCTATGGGATTAGTGCCTGGACTCCACTAAGCCACTGGGCTCTGCCATGTAATGAATGGTAAAGAGACAAGTGACTACAGGCCAGCACACTCATCCTAACCAAAGTAGAGGCAAATTAGGATGCCCCAGTCTAAAGATCTCCATAGAAGAGAAAAATGAAAGAAGAAACTTTACAACTCCTCCAAACCTCCAAGGCCTGAACTGCTGCACACGAGACTCTAGGTTCCTTGAAGGCAGGAATGCTGTTCATCTTGTCCGGATGCCAGGGTGCTAAGCAGAATGTACAAATGAAAACAGTACAAGCCCCAGATTCTTTTTTTTTTTTTTTTTTTTTTTTTTTTTTTGAGACAGAGTCTCACTCTGTTGCCCAGGCTGGAGTGCAGTGGCGCGATCTCGGCTCACTGCAAGCTCCACCTCCTGGGTCCATGCCATTCTCCTGCCTCAGCCTCCCGAGTAGCTGGGACTACAGGCGCCTGCCACCATGCCCGGCTAATTTTTTGTATTTTTAGTAGAGATGGGGTTTCACCATGTTAGCCGGCATGGTCTCGATCTCCTGACCTCGTGATCCACCTGCCTCGGCCTCCCAAAGTGCTGGGATTACAGGCGCGAGCCACCGTGCCCGGCCGCCCCAAATTCTTTGACTTAGCCTCAGCTAAGTTGAAAGCAGAGTGCATGCGTATTTTTTTTTAATAGCAAAAATGCTGAGATCCAAACAATTTTTGAGCTATTGACCTTAAAGCTTTGAAATTATAAGACCTGCCATTACATCCTCTTATACAGACAGGAATAAAGGCTGGAAAATATACACAAGTCAGCCACGCTGATGACACTTAAGAATATAAACACTGGCCAGGTGAAGGGCCTTTCTTGGCAGTTTTATACTCATTCTAAGTCTTGTCACCATAAAATTGAGTTGTTTGTCTTCAATAGCTCCACCATGAGATTCTACAATTGTTTATGATTATATAACCTTTAACCTTGGGGCTACGATACATGTTTACCTATTTAAAGAAGTTGTGTTTTCTCATTAAATTTCTATAAGAGGAAATTGGATTTAAATTTGTTCTTCAACTTAATCATATTTGACTATGCCTCCACCATTTTATTATTACACAGTGTCCTTGCAAATAAAAATAGGTGGTGACTGTTAGAAAACTTTGAAAAATATAAAGTTGACATTTTTTCTCTTTCCAAATAGATTCTGAAGGTCTGTGATAGAATCTGCGTATTGTTTTGTTTTTTAAACAAACTCAATTTCCGAGGTATTTCTGACACCCACCAAAGTTTGGCAATCAGACAGAAAGACTCCCTAACCAAGACGTCTAAAGAATGGTTTCTAGGCCGGGCACGGTGGCTCATGCCTGTATTCCCAGCACTTTGAGAGGGTGAGGCTGGTGGATCACCTGAGGTCAGGAGTTTGAGACCAGTCTGGCCAACATGGTGAAATCCCATCTCTACTAAAAATACAAAATTAGCCAGGCGTGGTGGTGGGCACCTGTAATCCCAGCTACTCGGGAGGCTGAGGCAGGAGAAATCCCTTAGAACCCGGGAGGCAGAGGTTGCAGTGAGCTGAGATCGCACCACTGCACTCCAGCCTGGGAGACACAGCAAGATTCTGTCTCAAAAAAAAAAAAAAAAAAAAAAAAAGAACAGTTTCTAAAGGATGCCAAGAAAGTCATAAACGCCCACCATGCCCACACAAGCCTGTTTTTAATGACACTTTTATTGCAATATAATTCACATATCATTATATTCTCCCTCTAAAAGCATATAATATAATGGTTTTTGGTGTAGTTGCAGAGTTGTATAACCTGCACCACTACCTAATTTTAAAACATTTTTATTGTCTCAAAAAGAAACCCTGTACCCATCAGCAGTCACTCGCCATTAATTCCAGCTCCCCCCCGCAACCACCAGGGTGGTTTTCTGTGGATTTCTCTATTCTAGGCGTTTCATATAAACAGAATCATATGGCACACGGCTTTTTGTGTCTAGCTTCTTTGACTTACTGTGATGTTTTCAAGGTTCATCCACGTTGTAGCATGTATCAGCCAGCACCTTCATTCCTTTTTATGGCTGAATAATATACCATTGTATGGCTAAAACCACATTTTGTTTATCCATTCATCAGTTGATGGGCATTTTGGTTGCTGCTGGCCATAATAAATAATGCTCCTCTGAACTGAGCATGCATGCACACTTTTTGTGTGGACGTGTGTTTCTAATTTTCTTGGGTATACAGCTAGGAGTGGAATATTCTGGGTCACTGAATATTCTAGAAGATTTCTGGATCCTATTCTACACATTTGTTTTTGTTCCACTTCCATATCTGAACCACATGCTGCTAATCACTGACTCCAGCTAACAGACAGTGAGGAACGCTCTCACACTGTTTACCAGTAAACAGTCTTGCAAAGTAACTCAACTTCCTAGAATAGAGCAAACAACAAAATCTGTCTCTTTTGTCTTTTTACTTGTGTGGGTCTTCAACTTCATACTAGCAGTGTGACTGACTTTAAGCCACTTGGCATTTGCCACAAATGGGAGATTATTGGCCTTAAACACTGGTGAAAAATGAGGGGTGTGTTATGCACGTAAGTATTACCTAAACATTACATGTTAGAACGGATATCCTGGAAGAGAAAACAAAACCCACACCAAAGCGGATTAATAGGAAGCTTTAAGCTCTAACAGCCTTCCACTAAGAATCCATTAAAGAAAAATAATAAAGCCAAAATTAGGCTTTATATAAATTAGGCTGGCGCTCTCTCTCTCTCTCTCTCACACACACACGCACACACGCACACGCACGCAACCCTAATTTAATCAACCAAATGTACCACATGCACATCTTTTTAGTCTCACATTTGCTCAACACAGATGGACAGAAAAAAATAGATGTATGTTTTTGGGTACAGAACCTTCTCAGAGGAACTTTTATTAACACGGAATTATCAGGGCCATTCATTCTATTTGGGGAGTTAGAAAAGGATCCAATTATTTGTAACAAAGAAAAGTTAAAAGTGTTCTACTGGGGCCGGGCGCGGTGGCTCACGCCTGTAATCCCAGCACTTTGGGAGGCCGAGGCGGGCGGATCACGAGGTCAGGAGATCGAGACCATCCCGGCTAAAACGGTGAAACCCCGTCTCTACTAAAAATACAAAAAAATTAGCCGGGCGTAGTGGCGGGCGCCTGTAGTCCCAGCTACTTGGGAGGCTGAGGCAGGAGAATGGCGTGAACCCGGGAGGCGGAGCTTGCAGTGAGCCGAGATCCCGCCACTGCACTCCAGTCTGGGCGACAGAGCGAGACTCCGTCAAAAAAAAAAAAAAAAAAGTGTTCTACTGGAAAACTTATCCAGAAACTCACATTAGTTCCTGGCATAATAAAGTTAAATGGGAATCCACTCATTTAAAGAAAAATTAAAGCAAGAAATCAAGAAAATTACTATTTGGCAAAGGAATCCAAAAGCTCACATCCTGGTTTAGTCCTCCAAGCTTCGCTCACAAACATAACACATTTATAGATATAGATCTATAAATCTATAGAGCTTAAAAGCCTGAGTGTGGTACTCATGCCTGTAATCCCAACATTTTGGGAGGCCAAGATAGGAGGATTGCTTGAGCCCGGAGTTCAAGACCAGCCTGGGCAATATAGCAAGACCCCTTCTCAAAAAAAAAAAAAAAAAACCAAACAAAAAATAAAACACTTTTTTTTTTCCAGTAGCCTGGTGTGGTGACATATGCCCATGGTCCCAGCTACTTGGAAGGCTAAGGTGGAAGGATTACTTGAGCCCAGGAAGTCAACTAAAAAAATAAAATAAAATAAAAAAGCTTAAAAACAATTTTCAACTCTCCTGGACTTGGGTTCATGCTTTAAAAAGATGCATAGGTTTCCCTTAAAAAATTGTTATTTCAGATTATTTTTCTTTATCTACTAATCCACAAACTCAGTTATTCTCATTCCAACTTAAGTCACTGCCACCCATGCCCATTCCTCCAAATACTGAGGCAAAAAAGAAAAGATTAGAAGACTGGGCAGTCTGGTCACAGCTTGGCTTATAAATGACCAGATAGCTTGGATCAAGTCCCTTTACCATGCAGGGACTTCATTTCTATATATGTAAAACAAACAGGTTCTATTTCTTTTTTTTTTTCTTTCTTTTTTGGGGGGGCGTCTCCCTCTGTTGCCCAGGCTGGAGTGCAGTGGCGTGATCTTGGCTCACTGCAAGCTCCACCTCCTGGGTTCACGCCATTCTCCTGCCTCAGCCTCCCGAGTAGCTGGGACTTACAGGCACCCGCCACCACGCCGGGCTAAATTTTTGTGTTTTTTTAGTAGAGACAGGGTTTCACCGTGTTAGCCAGGATGGTCTTGATCTCCTGACCTGGTGATCCGCCCGCCTCAGCCTCCCAAAGTGCTGGGTTTACAGGCATGAGCCACCGCGCCCAGCCTGATTCTATTTCTTAAACCAGGTATTGTCAAACTTTTTCTGTTAAGGGTCAGAGAGTAAATATTTTCACTTTGTGAGCCACGTGGTCTCTGCTGCAACTACAGATACCCTCAACTTATGACAGGGCTATATACTGAGAAACCCATTGTAACTTGCAAATATTGTATGTCAAAAATGCATGTATTACACCTAAACTACTGAATACTATAGCTTCGCCTCACCTACCTTAGACGTGCCCAGAACACTTCCGTTAGCCTACAGTTGGGCAAAATCATCTATCATAAAGCCTATTTTGTAGTGAAGTGTTATACATCTCTTGTAATTTATTGAATACTGAACTAAAGTACAGTTTCTAGTGAATGAGTATCACTTTTACACCAAGTCAGATCGTTAAGTCCAACCATTTTAAGTTGGAGACAGCTTGTACTCAGCTCTACAATCTCCGTGCAAAACCAGCCATAGACAATATGTAAACAAAAGGGCATGGCTGTGTTCCAATAAAGAAAGCTTCATTTACAAAAACAGCTGTGAGTTGAATTTGGCCCATAGGCCACAGTTTGCCAACCCCTGAGTTAGAGGATTTAGAAGTTTCCTCCTAGGATGATTATGAAGCAAAATCACTAGCCTCTGCAACCCACTTTTATGAAAGATCAAGTTATCAAGGTCTGAGGGTGGAAACAGATGTTCACCACAGCACTCAGTTCTAGGAGAGTCTCTGCCTAGGGACACAGGCACTGGACTCTTCATAGTTCCATCAACAGCCACCTTCTGTTTTGCTTGGTACCTCACTCATGCTCTGCTGACCACTGCCTTGGGCTTGGATGAAGCATCACTCTGCATGGTGGAATCTGGCTTTCTGAGAGCTTGGTAGGAGTCAGATGGTACAAACCAAATGTGTAGGGAAATAGCTGTGCAAGGGGAGGGGCTTGGCCAGTGTGAAATAGGAGACAAGACAGAGGTGAGTAGATAAAACATCTCTGCTTTCCTGCAGACTACTCCAGGCTACGGCTCCTCCTTGCAGCCCTTCCAGAAGTGAACATATCCACTAAGTGACCGGCTGGGACTCTGCATTTCACTGTCAAACACCAGCCAGCATCACTTGGCATTGTTCTTTGGCTTTCCTTCCCTTGCATACCTACCCTCACCACTTTGTACTGATACCTCCTAAATAAGGTGTTAACACTCAATCCTTGCATCAGGCTCTGCTTTATAGTGGGGGAGAAAGGGTTAAGATACCATCTCAAGGCCGGGTGCGGTGGCTCATGCCTGTAATCCCAGCACTTTGGGAGGCCGAGGCGGGTGGATCACCTGAGGTCGGAAGTTCGAGACCAGCCTGACCAACATGGAGAAACCCCGTCTCTACTAAAAATACAAAATTAGCCAGGCGTGGTGGCACATGCCTGTGGTCCCAGCTACTAGGGAGGCTGAGGCAGGAGAATCGCTTGAACCTGGGAGGTGGAGGTTGTGTGGGCCGAGATTGCACCATTGCACTCCAGCTTGGGCAACAAGAGTGAAACTCCATCTCAAAAAAAAAAAAAACAAAAGATACCATCTCAAATGGTACTCTTTGTTTAAAAAAAAAGAATGGCACAGATAAAACTACTGGATTTAGAGTATAAAAAGATTAATAAATAAGAAGTAAAATCTTGACTAATACATTAAACTAAACTAATCTTGGCCATCTATCTATACTGGCTTCAAATATCCCTAATGTCCAAATGGTAAAATGTATCCTAAACATATCTAAAAGGTCAGCATCTCTCCAAAAAGAGGGCCTGAATACCTATGACTATATTAAGTGAAGAAGCATGCATGCCTGGCCTTCCAGTTATATTTTTATTTTATTTATTTATTTGAGACAGTGGCTTGCTCTGTCACCCAGGCTGGAGAGCAATGGTGTGATTTCGGTTCATTGCAACCTCTGCCTCCTGGGCTCAAGTGATCCTTCCACCTCAGCCTCCCAAGTAGCTGGGACTACAGGTGTGCGCCACCACACCCGGCTAATTTTTGTATTTTTAATAGAGACGGGGTTTCACCATGGTCCCCAGGCTGGTCTTGAGCTCCTGGGCTCAAGTGATCTGCCCACCTCGGCTTCCCAAAGTGCTGGATTACAGGTGAGAGCCACCACACCCAGCCGACCTTTCAATCATAAATGGAGCAAAAAATGTTGTGCTATATCTCTTGAAATATAATTATTTGTTGTATAAATAAGAGGTCCCTGTCGTGGTCTGAATGTTTGTGTCCCCTCCAAATTCACGTGTTGAAACCTAATTCCCCATGTGCCAGTATGAAGCGGCGGCACTTTTAGGAGGTGACTAAGTCATGCAGGCTCCACCATCATGGGGTTAGTGCCATTAAAAGAGAAACCCAGGCAGGGCGCGGTGGCTCACGCCTGTAATCCCAGCACCTTGGGAGGCCGAGGCAGGTGAATCACGAGATCAGGAGATCGAGACCATCCTGGCTAACACTGTGAAACCCCGTCTCTACTAAAAAATACAAAAAATTAGCCGGGCGTGGTGGCGGGCACTTATAGTTCCAGCTACTCGGGAGGCCGAGGCAGGAGAATCGCTTGAATCCAGGAGATGGAGGTTGCAGTGAGCCGAGATCGTGCCACTGCACTCCAGCCTGGGTGACAGACCGAGACTCTGTCTCAAAAAAAAAAAAAAAAAAATTAAAAAAAGAGAAACCCAGAGGATCTTGTTTGTCCTTTCCACCACGTCAGAATGCAGCTGTTCTTATGAACCAGAAAGCAGGCCCACACCCGACACCAAATCTGCCAGCACCTTGATCCTGGACTTCCCATCCTCCTGAACTGTGATAAATAAATTTCCATTGTTTATAAGTCATCCAGTCTATGGCTTTTTGTTAGTGCAGCCTGCACAGACTAAGACAGTCTCCTTAACACTAGCTGAGGTCCCTGGATGGGGTAGGCTATTGATAATAGCTCACTATCCCAAACCGTTAGCAACACAGGCAACTTTTGGTGGGAATGGAGAGCTTCCCTGGACAGCACAAGACAAGCAATTTCCTGATACCAAAACCCTGGGAGTTCCTGGGGCTGAACTGAAGGCCACTCTGCATGATGAAATTTCCAGAGAGCCACAAGAAAGATGGGGACTTCCCAAAGTCCACGGAGCATGCTCTGATGGCATTGGCAAGTTTATATGAAAGCAACGGCATTACTGCATTAACCACTGAAACTTCCTGTTAGCCATCTGGCCCAACGCCGTTTACTAAATAATCCATGCTTTCCCCAGTGATTTAAAACAACACTCTTATCATAAACCTGATCTATATTTCAGTCTGTCCCTGACTACCCCTCCCTATCTATTCTCCCTTGCCTTTGATGACATTACCTTCTCCTGGATTCCTTGTATCTCTGACAATTCCTTCAAGGTCTCCTTGGCTGCTGCCTTACACCTGTGCTGCAAGGCCCCGGGTGATCTTCTACATCCTCATCACTTCACCTCTCTGCTGATGAAACACAAATCCTGGGCCACCCTCTGTGGCTGGGCAGGTTGGTCACTGCGCAACAGTGGCCAGGCCATGTACCCACATGGCTCACCAAGTTCCCATCTCTAGCTCAGAAGTCCTCTAAGTCACACCGTAGCCATCCAAATGCCAGCCATCTCTCCCAGAACGCACCCCAGGGAACCACACACTCAGCATGGACTCATTTTTCTTTCTTCCTAACCTGTTCCTCCCTTGAATACCCTATACTCACTGTATGGTCCCATCACACAAGGCAGAAAACCCGGAGGAATCCAGGCACTTCCAATCCCTGACCTGCCACAGCCACATCCTGTCTGACAGATTCTACCTCCTCCTCTCCAGCCACTGCTGTAGAATTGGTGTTTGACCTCATTATTTCTCCTCTCATTTAGTCTGTCGGCCTCCACGCTTACCGGCCTTAAAGCCTTCGCTCTGCCGCACAAGCAGCCTTGCCACAATATTCTGATCATGTCACGCCACCGCCTGGAAATTTCCCATGGATTCCCGCTGCCTACAGGATAAAGACCTGACTCCTCAAAATGCCCCAAGGCCCCTGACTCTCTCTCTCACCTCTTTCTTCCTTAACCAATGCCAAACACATCCGCTGTTTTTCTCTCCTGCCTGGTCTTTACTCATGCTGTAACCTTGGCTTGGAATGCCTGAGTCAAGGCCGCCCCCTCCCCCTGCAAAGACTTGGTTAATACCCAGATCAAGCTGACTACTCCCTTCCTCGAGCCCCCAGATTTCCACACGAATACCTGTAACACTTATAGGTTTATATGTGTCTCTGGCCCTATTAGAACTGCAGGTTCTGAGATCACAGACAGCATCTAGTTTGATTTTGGATCCCCAGAGCCCGGCTCAGTGGCTAGCACAGTGACAACCTCATCCATAAAATCCTAAATGGATGTGAAAATAAGCAGATTAGCCAGCCAGGTGCGGTGACTCACGCCTGTAATCCCAGCACTTTGGGAGGCTGAGGAGGGGTGGATCATGAGGTCAGGAAATCAAGACCATGCTGGCCAACATGGTGAAACCCTGTCTCTACTAAAAATACAAAAAAATAGCTGGGTGTGGTGGCGCATGTCTGTAATCCCAGCTACTCAGGAGGCTGAGGCAAGAGAATCGCTTGAACCGGGGAGGCGGAGGTTTCAGTGAGCCGAGATCGCACCACTGCACTCCAGTCTGGCGACAGAGCGAGACTCTGTCTCAAAAAAAAAAGAAAAGAAAAGAAAAGAAGCAGATTAGCCAAGGCAAGGTAATACAAATGTAAATTAGACTTTCAACTGGTTATAGGTGTAAAAATGGGGACAGAACACCTATTATCCCCAGGCACCCTCTGGAAAAGAAGAGATTAGGGATTAAGGGAGAAAGACTAGAAGCGTCTGGAAGAAAGGTAGACAGACAAAGAGGAAGAGAAGAATGGCCTGCTTAGAACCGGGACTGCACTTTCTGGGCACTGGGCTAGCATGTGGATGAAATGCCACCTGGAGAGCGACAGAGCAAAGATGCTTAAGCAAGGGGCCAGGCAGAAAGGCAGATAGATGCAGCTGGCCCAGCAGTGAGGAGGCACAAGCTCAGGTGCCTCCAGGAGTCAGGAGGTAAGAAAAACATGAGTGGCTATTCTCATAGATGCCTTCCTGCAGAAAGGCAGGCAGATTAAAATATATTTAAAACATCCCTACAGCCAAACAAAACAAGTCTAAGAAACGATTCCAGAGGAGAATCAGAAAGATAGCTGCTTTCCTTCTCCCTTAGACTGCCGAGCAAAATTATTAATATGATGTTCATGGGCTGCATGATCCCTACAAACACAGCTGACTCTTTGCCATCAGTAAGACACTCCCCATCCCCTAGCCCTTCCTTACCCTTCCCATCCTGCAGCTTCCTTCTCCAGGAAGCCTCCCCTGATTCCCCAGGGTCTCTCTGTGACATGCTCTTAAAACACCCTGGACTCCTGCTTCACAACCCTTTCCTGATTGATCAAATAGGTTTTCACTTAAAATCTGTTCCCACTATAAGAAGATAAACACTTGCAGGGCAGAGACTTTGTTCTTATTAAATCCCCAGTATCCCAAGACTCACTCTGCCTGGTACATATTTGAGGCTCAAACTATGTGTTGAAGGAATGATTCAATCAAACAGATAAACAATAAGTTAAGGTCGGGCACGGTGGCTCACGCCTGTAATGCCAGTACTTTGGGAGGCCGAGGCAGGCGGATCACAAGGCCAGGAGATCGAGACCACCCTGGCTAACACGGTGAAACCCCATCTCTACTAAAAATACAAAAAATTAGCCAGGTGTGGTGGCAGGCACCTGTAGTCCCAGATACTTGGGAGGCTGAGGCAGGAGAATGGCATGAACCCGGGAGGCGGAGCTTGCAGTGAGCCGAGATCGCGCCACTGCAGTCCAGCCTGGGTGAAAGAGCGAGACTCCGTCTCAAAAAAAAAAAAAAAAAAAGAGTTAAACAAGTAATGAATAAAACTGGCATATATCTAGAATGTAAGACCAAGGTAGGTGCTGGAATTATTTTTAGCATAAAAGAGGAGAGAGCCGAGCACGGTGGCTCATGCCTATAATCTCAGCACTTTGGGAAGCAGAAGTAGAAGCCAGAAGTTCGGGATCAGCCTAGGCAACATACTGAAACCCTGTCTCTACCAAAAAAAAAAAAAAAAAAAAAACAAAACAAAAAAAACTGTTTTTAGGCATAGTGTAATCCCAACACTGTGGAAGGTCAAGGCCAGTAGATTACTTGAGGCCAAGAATTCAAGACCAGCCTGGGTAACATGGCAAAACATCTCTACAAAAAATAATAATAATAATAATAATAATAATAATAATAATAATAATAATACAAAAAGCCAGGTGTGGTGGCACATGCCTGTAATCCCAGCTACTCAGGAGGCTGAGGTGGGAGGGTCACTTAAGCCCAGGAAGTTAACGCTGCAGTGAGCCATGATCGTGCCACTGCACTCTAGCCTGGGCAACAGAGTGAGACCCTGTCTCAAATAAATAAAAAATATAAAAAAATAAAGAAATCAGCCGGGCGTGATGACACATGCCTGCAATCCCAGCTACTCAGGGGGCTGAGATGGGAGGAGTGTTTGAGCCCAGGAGGTTGAGGCTGCAGTGAGCCATGATTGTGCCACTGTACTCTAGCCTGGGCAACAGAGTGAGACCCTGTCTAAAAAAATAAATAAATAAATAAATAAATAAATAAATAAATAAATAAATAAAGAGAGGAAGGGCAAATAGGACAAGTCCTTGTGGAGCCAACAGACAGCCTGAAGCAGGGACCAGCAGCTATGGTCCAAGGGACCAACTGGTCAAACCAACTATCATATGGCCCAGTGAACTTGCCAACGAAAATCATCTTCCACTTTTTTTTTTTTTTTTCCTTGAGACAGACGGAGTCTTGCTCTGTCACCAGGCTGGAGTGCAATGGCGTGATCTCGGCTCACTGCAACTTCCACCTCACGCGTTCAAGCGATTCTCCTGCCTCAGCCTCCCGGGTAGCTGGGACTACAGGCGCCCGCCACCACACCCGGATAATTTTGATATTTTTAGTAGAGACGGGGTTTCACCATGTTGGTCAGGCTTGTCTGGAACTCCTGACCTCAAGTGATCCACCTGCCTCGGCCTCCCAAAGTGCTGGGATTACAGGCATGAGCCACCATGCCTGGCCAGAACGATGATATTTTATAACACACACAAGTCATCTGAAATTCCTATTTTCGGATCCATAGATAAAGTCTTATTGGAACACAGCTACACTCATTTGTTTACCTATCATCCAGGGCTGCTTTCATGCTGAAACAGTAAAGCTGAGTGGCTGGGATGGAGACCATGTGACCCTCAAAGCCTACATACTGACTACTTGGCCCTTTACAGAAAAAGTTCACTGACCCCTGGCCTGGAGCCTCTGTGGGATCACAATATCTCAGGACCCATAAGAAAGCTGTCACCAGTGGCATCTGCTAAAGTCTGAGTCCCAGAAAAAAGCTGCCAGACACTGTCTATTGATATAAAATATGACTTAAATTAATAGAGTGCAGGTGAAATTAATAGCATACCCATGCGATGGATTACTACACAGCTGTTTAAAAGAATGGGTTAGACTGAAATGTACAAAGTATAGAAAGATGTCCACATACACTGTCAAAGTAACTTAAAGGACAACATAGACAATATTTTCCAATTTATTTTAAAAGAATAAGTATACATATGTTTAAAAGGTGAGACCGGGGATTATTTTTTATTTGAAATCATTTTGTACTTACTGAATTTTTTACCGTGAAAACAAACTAGTCTCTAACTTAAAAAAAGATAAAGATGCTGAAATTCAGAAAGCCATTTCCCCCCATGCCCCTTTGCAATAGAGTAGCTTATTTGGGACAATAACGGATCCAAATTATTCATATCCCCTAGCAACCTGACCTTCCAATAATTTGGATCCAATGTTGTCCCAAATAATTGATGATCTCATGATCCTACGGTCCAAATTCTGTGTTTGGCAGATGGGTGTTGCATACATAGACACACTCTCCTCTGAAATTTCAAGTCTCCGGTAACAGTGCAAAGCTGTTCATGTGTTTGTTTTGAGGAAGTGTAAGATTAGAACGGTCAGAAATAGTCCTACTTCCCTTTTCCTAGAAACTTCATTACCTCTTGCGCTAGAACACCCCTCTTGAGCCTGTGGAAGGTCAGGTTGCCAGGGGATACGAATAAACCAGCTGCCTTCTTTGTGTCTCTGCTAAACAGTAGCTGGCTCCCCTGTCACTAGGACCCCCTCCTGGTGCAGGCTTATAAACATCAGCTGTAGTAACGATACCCCCAGGTGGGAAGGGGTGGTCATGTAGTCAGGCAGGCACAGAGGAGTGAGAGGCCAAGGCTGAGCCAGCAGTGGACTTGGGTACGATTTTCATCTTTTGCCTTGGAACGCATGTCTGTGATTCCCACTAAATCTAACTTTCCTTGGTTTAAATCCTCTCAGTTCTCTCATGGCAATTTCTCTGGGGAGTCACGGAGGTCAAGACACAGCTCTGTTCAGCTGGTTTACCCTGTCCTGCCCTGCCCAAGACCACAGCCTGCAACAGTGCCCTTTGCTCACCTTGTTACAGAACCTGCCACGTGGTGCATCCCCTTTTATAAACCATCCACAGCAAACTTCTGGGGATCCTGGGGTCATTTGAAGGCCTGGGAGGTCCCTAATTATTGGGGTCATTGAGGTGTGGTCCTATTCAACTCAGATGCACATGGAACCTGTACTATTTGATGGGATAAATAACCCATAAGCACCCCCGGCATTTCCCAAAAAACATCTGGAGAAATGCCAGCCAGTGAGATACTTAAGGAAAAAGATGACGTTGTAGTGAAATTAGGGAAACCTCGCATTTGCAACCCCTGTATTGAAGCTTCAAGATCATTAAAACCTTCAAAATTCCAAGACATCATGCAGTGACTTTGCCTCGTTCATTTTATTCAAGCCAGCTGTTGACCATAGAACCTTTTGAGACACCCTTCAGAAAACCCAGCCCCAGACGAACAGGTTGGGTTTAACACAGATACCCAGGGTGGACGTCAGGGTCCAAGGAAGACTCAAACCATAAAGGGCAGCCTTCCTTCCAAGATACTCCCAGAACTACAGACCCAGACTTGCACCCCTACCACCCAGCACAGTGGGAGGAGTAAGACTTTACTGTAGCCCCTGAGCATAGACTTAAGAAGAAAAAACCCCCAAACAGAGAGGCGAAGAAGGGAGAAAAAACGTGCCCCTCTAGAGAGCCAGAATGCCAGGGGGTTGGTGCAGGATTCTCCCCCGAGCGGGACTCACCATTGGTGGTCGTGTTGACATAGTACCGCCGGCCCTGAGGCGACAGGTAGCTCTGCCAGCCAGGTGGAAGGATGACCGTCTGGCTTTCTTCTCCCGGCGGAGGGGGGACCATTCCAGGCTTCTGTTGGAGAAGAAAGAAAAGGTCACACCCATTTGGCATTTTTGCAAGAGTTTTTAAACCAGGAAGGCAAAGGCTGATGAATTCACCCTACAGTAGCGTGACATTGGGAAGTCTGCGGCCCATAAACCCCTGAGGTCAGAGGCAGCACACACGTGACCTCCGGGGTTGCGTGAGCATGAGCAGTGAGAAGCACCTGAGCATTCAGAGCCCCTGCACAGAGGACAGCTCCTCTGGGAGCAGAGAGGAAAATGCCATTCAGCTAATGGAGCTAGACTTTCTCCACGGCCCCCTAGAAAATCACTCACGGGGTGCTGAGCTTGCAAGGGGGCCCTGTCACTCCACCACCTCCCATTGTGAAATCTGAAGCCTGAAATTCCCAGACCACGAAGCACAGCAGCAGACAAGGCCCCAGGCTTGCTGTGCAAACCTAGCAGAAGTAATTAATGCAAGTCATCCCACAGCCAGATGCAAAACATTCTATAATAATGCTGAGAATCCATGAAGAGCTGGATGGAGCTTCTCTCGCCAAGGGTCCAGATCACTCTGGCAAAAAGAACGAGGACTCGGAGACAGAGCAGACGCTGACTTCCCATTGTATGCATTTATGTGCAATTAATTCTTTTAACCATGTATAGAATTACTTTTCGTTAAAAAACAAATCAGAGAAAAATGTATATGACATACAAAGAAACTAGATATCTAGTAGACAGATGCTAAAAAAAAAACAACCATGGCCGGGCGCAGTGGCTCACGTCTGTAATCCCAGCACTTTGGGAGGCCGAGGCGGGCGGATTGCCTAAGCTCAGGAGTTCGCGACCAGCCTGGGCAACACGGTGAAACCCCACCTCTACTAAAAATACAAAAAATTAGCTAGGCGTGGTGGTGTGCGCCTGTAGTCCTAGCTACTCGGGAGGCTGAGGCAAGAGAATTGCTTGAACCTAGGAGGCGGAGGTTGCAGTGAGCAGAGATCGCACCACTGCACTCCAGCCTGGGTGACAGAGTGAGAGTCCATCTCAAAACAAACAAACAAAAATATAAAAACAAACAAACAAAAAACAGCCACGATCCCTGGGTGCTGGGATTACAGGCAATTATTATACTCTCCTTTCTACATATCTGTTCCCCCTAAATTTTCTCCCATAAACACAGAAATAAAAGTTGTTAGCTAAAGAACATTTTAAAATTAGGACAGAGAGTCCAAATTAGCCCGTAAGATTGCTGTGCCTTTTGAAGTAAATTGATTAAAATCAGAATTGTAGCCATACGAAGAGAGTAGCCATGAATTTCTCAGCAAAGCCAGGGGACTGTTCACAAACAGTAAAGGTAATCGGCTCCCAAATGTCCTCAGTATCCCCCAGCTGTGCCCATAGTGGTGGTCCCTGGTGACCCCCGCTTAGGAAAACAAGATAACAGAATGAAAGAGAGCAGCAGAGACACACAGCTCCCAGGCTACTCTCACGCTTTGTGAAGGTTGCAAAACCACGTGCCGTGGCTTCCCGTAGTGCCCTGCATGTCATTGGAGGGAACGAGTAAATCTGAGCTGCTCGGGGACTTTGAGTAAACACAGCCTCCCTTCTGCCCTCTGCGTAGCTGCGGTGTAAGTTTCACAATGCATTTTCACAACTTAATTAAAAGCTTTCCCCTATGCCCTGGACGCTCCATCTCCTACACCTGCTAACCTGCAGTGCCCGTTTGATTCCGTATGGAAGACTGTCTTCTAAGACAGCAGGAGACAGTGAGGTGGACAGCAGCCAGGATCAACACGGTGTGGCATCCCACCAGGGTCGCAGGTTGCTGTCTCACCAGCATGTCCAGTAAGCACAAGCCCACATCTGGGCAGGTTTACCTGGGCCCTCTCACTGCTTTGGACTCTCCAGGATTGGAAGATAGCCAAAATATATGCAAGACAAATAGGATTATAACAACGTGCATGTGTGCGTGTGTGTGCGTGTGCATGCGCGCGTGCATGTTGAGAGAAAGAGAAGTATCCCATGCACAGGAGATGAACATTCTGTCCAATAGGATTAGAAATAAAGTCGGCATGGGTGGGGGGTCAGGGGATTAAAACTGAGGGTTAGGGCCAGGTGCAATGTCTCACGCTTGTAATCCTAGCACTTTGGGAGGCCGAGGTGGAAGAATGGCTTGAGCCCAGGAGTTTGAGACCAGCCTGGGCAACATAGGAAGACTCCGTCTGCAAATAATTTTTAAAATTAGCCGGGTGTGGTGGCATACGCCTGTGGTCCCAGCTACTTAGGAGGCTGAGGTGGAAGGATTGCCTGAGCCTAGGAGGTTGTTGCAGTGAGCTGTGATCGCACCACTGCACTCCAGCCTGGGTGACAGAGTGAGACCCTGTCTCAAAACAAAGAACAAAAAAATACAACTACAGGCATGAGTGTTTGATGAAAGAGATTCTAGAACCAGAGGGGCAAGATGCCAGGTGTCCTCCCCTTGAGTGAAATATTCTAGTTTCTCCTTCAATCAAACATGGGAAAGCCATATTGGTACTTATCCAAATAACTTGGGAGGAAATAGGAAGGATCAAATATTGACATGGTCAGAAAAGGGGTGCAGGAGACAGGAACCCACAGGCACAGCGAAAACAGCCCTCAGGCTCAAACAGCCTTCAGTGCCAATCCTGCCTGGACCGCTTGACAGCCATGTGACCACAGGCTACTGACTCACCAGGCTATTCTCGAATCTGTGAAACGAAGGGTGATAATATGAGCCCAGTTGTGGAAGACGACGGAGAGGGTAACAATACGTAACTCAGCACCTAGGGCAGCGCCTGTCCTGAGGGATGCGCAATGAATGGGGTTTTCCACTGGAAGGGCTTCACACAGTCCGTCTACGGCGATACGGACCTCCACCCTAGCCTCACCATCCCTCTGTCTGAAATGTCAGCATCAACAGTCACTTCTCTGAGGTTTCTGTTTCCAATACTACCCGACTTGAACGGCAAACACCTGCTGGGGAGGTTAACAGCCTGAGAGCTGGCCAGTGCGTTCTGGTGAGAGGGCTGGGCAGTGAGGAGACCACTCCTTACAGGAGCTGGAGAGCCAGTGGACCCAACCTGTGAACCTCAGTGTCCCACCCAGGAAAGAGCAATAATGATGCCGTCCCTTCTCCGCAAGGCACTGATGACCACGAGGTCTCCCGCAACGAGGAAATTCAGGACCTTACAGAAGGTGGGAGGCACCCTGATACTGAGCCGTGAAGGGCCATGAGATGCTGAAAGAGGTGGGGAGGAGGGCACTGGGGCCACCAGGCCCATCTCCTAATGTGGCTGATGTGGCAAAGATGGTCTCCACATCTCCCTCCTGCAGGGCCGCACTCTGCCTCCATCTCCCGAGGCAGCCACAGTCCCATCACCTTTCTGTTCTCTTAGAAAGGAGTTCCTCCTGATGGCTGACTTTAAAAGTCAAAAGACATGGAGACAACCAGGTATAGACACAAACACCTAGAAACAAGCAGTCAGACAAAAATTGGTACATGGATGCTCACAGCAATATCATTCGTAATGGCCAAAAAGTAGAAACAACTCAAATCCCCCATCAACAGATGGATGGATAGTGTAGTACAGCCATACAATGGAATATTATTCAGAAATTAAAAAAAAAAATGGAGCCGTGATACATGCTACAACATGGATAAACCTTGAATACATTATGCTAAGTGAAAGGAGCCAGACACAAAAGACCACATATTGTATGATTTCATGCATATGAAATGCCCAGAATGGGCAGAGCCATAGAGACAGAAACAGATTTGTCTTTTCCAGAGGCCTGGGGAGGGGAGAATGGGTACACGTTTTCCCTTTGGGGTAATGACACTGTTCCGGAACTGGATCGTGGTAATGGTTGCACAATATCATGAATACATAAATATATCACTGATGGTAAATATTTTGTCATGTGTATTGTACCACAATTAAAAAAAAATTTTTTGGCTGGGCACGGTGGCTCACACCTGTAATCCCAGCACTTTGGGAGGCCAAGGTGGGTGGATTACCTGAGGTCAGGAGTTCGAGACCAGCCTGGCCAACCTGGTGAAACCCTGCATCTACTAAAAATACAAAAATTAGCTGGGCATGGTGGCAGGTGCCTGTAATCCCAGCTACTCAGGAGGCTGAGGCAGGAAAATCACTTGAACCTGGGAGGCGGAGGTTGCCGTGAGCCAAGACTGCGCCATTGTACTCCAGCCTGGGTGACAGAGTGAGACTCTGTTTCAAAAATAAAGAAAAAATAAAAAAATAAAAAAACTTTTTTCTGCCTTCTGCGAAGGCAGAAGTTAGACCTTCCTACCTTCAAGTCTTCACTTAAGGGCCAACAGCACCAGCATTACCTCACCCTTCATGGCCACAGAGGGGCAAGAGCAGCCGGCCCCCAGGCATCCAGAGGACACAGTGTGCATAACCACCCAATAATTAAGGTCTCTCTCAATCTTATTCTTCTAATTAGTTTCCTTCCAAGTTAAATCCTTCCCTTCTCTTCCTTAGTCCTGTGGCTTTTTCCCTTCAATTCTGTCAGCACTTTCCCGTGGGAACTGTACTGGAAGCAGAGGTGACACAGGCCCGGGGGCTGGGGACAGACCCCACCTGGAAGGAACAAGATCAGAGGTAGCAGGATTTGGGGTGGGGGAAAACGAAGGAAGTTCTTTCTAACTCAGAAATTCTTTACCTAATACAGGGTGTCTTTGTGGGAATAATAAAACGCGGCCTCTTCCTCTGGAAGGGACCATCCCTTGGCCAGATTGCAAGGACAGGCTTCAGTCCCTCTCCATCCACCCTCACCTGGGCCTCCTTGTTCAGTAGGCAACCTGCTCAATGATATATATGGAAAGAGCATCCTTTAAGAATCTGAGGAAGGCTATGGATCTTCTGTCCCCTAAAATGGGTGCACATACACACACACGCTATTTCATAAGTAATATCAGGAGGTTTCTACACTACTTCAGAACCCTACTCTAGAAAGGACTCGAGAAATATCTGAGCCCAGGTCCATCTGTACCCATCGATAATGACTTTTTACCAGTCACCAAATATCTATAATGCATGCCAGACTGGACTGGGTGCTTTAGACAATCAGCTACTCGTCACAACAAGCCTGCCTCATAGATGGCATTTATCCCCGCTTTAAAACAAGGCATCTGAGACGCAGAGAGTTTAATAACTTGCCCAGTGTGGCACGGTTAATGGTAAAAACAAACTGCTTAAAAATATCAGCTGGCGAGATGCAGTGACTCATGCCTGTAATCCCAGTGTTTTGGGAGGCCGAGGCAGGAGGATTGCTTGAGGCCAGGAGTTCAAGGGCAGCCTGGGCAATGGAGCAAGACCCCATCTCTACACAAAATTAATTAATTAATTAATTAAAATAATAGCTTTGTTCTAGAGACTTCTATCCAGTTACCTTAAAGTTGGGCCACATCTCTCCCCAGCTACACCTACTCAGCTCCATTTCCTCACTGAGACCACCTGACACCCCAGCTCCTTCCCAAGGAGGATGACAACTCAAGCCTGATCCTCCTGTCTCCCAGTCCCCAAGTGAGCATATGATGTGCAAAAATATCACCGCCCGCGTCCAGGCCGTCACGTTCCCTAGCTGTAGGCTGACTTCCTTGTCTCTTTATTTAAAAAAACAACGCAACCCCCAAAATTTTCCCCTTAATGGTGGCTACTGATTCCTCCTTTAAAAAAAAAAAAAAGCAGGCAAGCAAAGTCACCCAGAGATTACAGAGATCAAAAACAAATCCCCCCACAGCAGTGTTTTTCAAAGTATGGTCACCGTGGGCCACCCCAGCAGTCACCTGGGATGTGAGTTCAAGTGCACACTCTGGGGCCTGACTCAATCTCCAGAGCAGCCTGGGAGGCTGCATTTGTCACAGTGATCCTGGGTGAGTCCTGTGCTCTAAAGCCACTCCGTTGCAGCATTAGAGGCAGCAACTGAGAAAAAACATCACTTCTGAAATGAAAACTGAGATCATAGAATTTTTATAAGCATGATTTGTAAAAAGACAGTGTTGGGCTGCACAGTGACTTATTAAAGAAAAAGATTCTGTTCCATTGCCCCAAACCCTTCAAATAAACTATTTAACAGACGGTGGAGGTTGTCTCTGCAGCCTCCAGGCAGTACAGACCCTGCTACTCCGCTCCCTACCGCTCCCACCATGCTTCAAGCTCAAGTTCAACCCGGATGCCACCTCCACCTCCGGGACTCTCTCCCCCTCCGGAGGTTTCTGAGAACACCTGACTCTTACCTTATCCTAAAGCCGTGAGCAAACGCTACTCGCTGGTGTTAATGGGTGGTCGTCAGACACTCGCTTTAGCAGCCAGATCAGACGGTTTTAAGGTCTCCCACTCTGCATCCTCTCACACCCCAAACCCAGAAGCAATAGGAGCTCTAAAGAAAAGCATATCCACAGGGCCCCACACCCCCACTCCCCCCACACCCAGATCTATATATAACAGCTCTGAAGTTGTCAGCCTAACGAGCCACTTTCTGGCAGACCCGTTGCTATGGCAATGCTTGCTAATGAGCCCAGTGCCGTGATTGGCACTGCTTGAAGGCTCCTCCACAAAGGACTCTCCAGCAAGTTCTCTCTTCCCCAACCACGGAGGCAGCTGGACACCCAGAAGCAGCCAGGGCATGGCTGGGCACGCCTGGGAAGGTTGAGTCCCGGAGTAGTCCTGGACTCAGCAGCCAGGAGTGGCCCCACTGCCAGCTCTGCACTCCTCAGGGAGTCAACCAATTACTAATGGGGCTGCCAGAGCCCACCAGGAAGATCAAGACCCAGCAGGGCTGGAGACTGGCAATTCACTCCCACGTCATGCCTTCCTGGTGGACACCTGTTTAGGTGGGCAGACTCCTACACAGAGCTGGGAACAGCTACCCGAGAAGGATACTCTCCTCCAGCTCTGGGTTAAGACACAAATCATGCAACAGTGACATCACCAGCCCCAGAGTCTGTCTCTAAGAATACTGGGCGCATTTCCTGTCTCACAGGTGAAAGTATTGCGCTCCCCAACTCCAGCAGCCTTTCTAGCCATACTCAGAAATTTCAGTGCACAGAAAATAGTAGGGGACCCCTGGCAACGTCACAACACATCCTGAGGACTGCAGTCTTCACCCAGTAGTTATGCAGGAGACAGGCTGGACCCCGGCAGAGTCTTCATTTTCTTCTAAAGGTCAGAGATTCAGAGACTTGGCCTGGAAGGAGGAGGTTGGGAGAGCTGCCATATCAACAAAGAAACAGACTATAAGATTCGGGAAGACAGGGCCATGTCCCTATCCCTCTTTTCACAGCTTTAATCTCAGCACAGTGCCCAGAACAATGAATGAATGAATGAATGAATGAATGAATGAATGAGTGAATGAAAACTGAGAATTATAGTAGGAACTAGGCTTCAGAAATATTTGAGGAGGCTATTTTACCAAATAAGCAGACAGGGAATGGGAGTGGGAGTTAGAGAAAGTGTGTGTGCCCCATCTGTGAACAAATCCCAGCTCTTAATGGATCTATTGAATGGACTCTGCTATGGTTTGAATGTGTCCCCTCCAAAACTCAGGCGTTGGCAACATGGTAGGATTAAGAGGTGGGACCTTTAAGAGGTGATCAGCCCATGAGGGCGCCTCCTTCAGTGGGATTGAGGCTCTTATCAAAGCAGCTTCACGCGGTATTCACTAGCTTGTCCTTCTGCCTTCCACCATGTGAGGACACGCTATTCCTTTATCTGGCAGACACAGCAACATGGTGCCATCTTGGAGGCAGACAACAGTCCTCACCAGACAACAGAACCTGCCGACACCTTGATCTTGGAACTTCCCAGTCTCCAGAACTGTGAGGAAGTCCTGTTCTTGAGCTAGGCATCGTGGCTTGTGCCTATAATCCCAGCTACTCAGGAGGTTTGCTTGAGGCCAGGAGTTCAAGGAGAGCCTGGACAACATAGTGAGACCCCACCGCCCCTCCATCTCTCCAAAAATAAAGGTTTTTTGTTTGTTTGTTTTGTTTTTTGACGGAGTCTCACTCTGTCGCCAGGCTGGAGTGCAGTGGCACGATCTCGGCTCACTACAACCTCCGCCTCTCAGGTTTAAACAATTCTCTTGCCTCAGCCTCCCAAGTAGCTGGGATTACAGGCATGCACCACCACACCCAGCTAATTTTTGTATTTTGTTTTGTTTTGTTCTGCTTTTTAGTAGAGACGGGGTTTCACCGCGTTGGCCAGGATGGTCTCGATCTCTTGACCTCATGATCCACCCACCTTGGCCTCCTAAAGTGCTGGGATTACAGGCGTGAGCCACTGCGCCCGGCCTTAACATTTCTTTTTTTTAAATTTAGCTGTGCATGGTGGTACGCATCTGTAGCTCCAGGTACTTGAGAGGCTGAGGGGGGAGGACTGCTTGGGCCCAGGAGTTAGAGACTGCAGTAAGCTATGATTGTGCCACTGCACTCCAGCCGACAGAGTGAGATACTGTCTCAAATAAATAAATACATTCCTGTTCCTCATACATTATCTGGTCTCAGGTATTTTGTAAGAGCTGCACAAATGGGGAAGGGGGAGGCAAGATAATATGTATTGTTTATTTTATTGCAGAAAATAGATAGAGGAAGAACATCCAGAAGCCTAGAAGCCTCAAGAGAAACACAAACTTCTCATCAGGATCTCACATAGTATCCAGAAGAAACATCTCAGAAAAGTATCTAGCAACCTCAACAAAGGGCAGGAAGATATGACATTATGATACAAGAACAAAAACTCATAAGAAGAGAACAAAACAAGGCAAGTTGGTTTGAAAAAAAAAAACCAAAATGATATAAAAAAGGAACAGGAAATGATAAAAATTATAGGGAAGTTTGAAAGGTTGTAACAGAAGGAAAATGCACATTGGTTGCAATAAAACATGGAATCAATACTGCAAAACAAAGTGAATTCGTTATGTACAGAACAAACGAGAATTGTTTTTTCCCCAGAATGCAAAGGAAATGGGAAAAATGCAAACGTGAGGACAGAACAGCAAACCAAGACATGGATACTGGGTGTTCCTGAAGAGGAGACCAGCAGAAAAGCTCTAACAGAAAAGAAAGAATAAACAAAGGTTGATGGGGAGGAAAGTTCCAGAGCTGGGCCACACGGGACGTCCTACGCTGTTCAAGGCAAAGTGGATTTCAAAAAACCAACCAGCAGACATACCCTAACAACATATTTACACAGCAAAGATAAGGATAAAAGTCCTGTAATCATTTACGTGGGAAGACCAGTGCAAGAATAAAAAGAAGGCTGGTCTCAAACTTCTCTGTAGCCACATCTCAAAAGACATCTCCGGTGCATGATGGGGAAAATACCACGACCTTCATTGTACTTCAAGGTAGCCAAGCTGTCTTTCACAAGGGAAGGCAACAGAAACATATTCTTCTAGAGACAAGTACTCATGTCCTCCTTAGCAGAAGTACTTAAGAGATGTACTTCAACTGCCTGAAAGAGCAAGACAAATAAAGGTGAAGAATGACGAAATCACGGCACAAAAGGATCCAGGCTGAACGCTGAAAGCAGCTTACAGAAATGCATACGTAATTATGCATTTCTAGTTATACAATCATGTATACATGTTGCTATTCTCAATATATACTGTAAAAAAATGAAATTATAACCTGAGTCTCAAATATAGACAGTACTAGAAAAGGGCTGGGTGCGGTGCCTCATGCCTATAATCCTAATATTTTGGGAGTCCAAGGTAGGGGGATCACTTGAGCCCAGGAGTTTAAGACCAACCTGCGCAACACAGCAACTCCATCACCACAAAAAATTTAAAAATTAGCCAGACGTGGTGGTGCACACCTTTAGTCCCAGCTACTAGGGAGGCTGAGACAGGAGAATTGCTTGAACCTAGAAGGCGGAGATTGCAGTGAGCTGAGATCATGCCACTGCACTCCAGCCTGGGTGACAGAGCGAGACTCCGTCTCAAAAAAAAAACAATAATAATAATAATTATAATTATATATACTAGAAGAGATCAAGAGGCAGGAGGAACACTGAGATCATGAGAACACCGAGGGAGATGGAAACAAAACGCTGACCTTCCTCCCGTCCCCATAGTGAAGCATCCGTGTCCTGTTGTCCCTCCTGCCAAATATCAGGTATCAGGTACCTGACCAGTTGGCATCCATCCTCTGTCCTTGCTTCTCATGTCCACTCTTGTCTTTTCCTAGAAACTGACAGGTTCTCAACCTGAAGGAACACAACAGAGGGAAGGGGCCTTGGAGACCCAAATCCCTGGTGCTGTGAGTCTTTTGAGTCTTACCTCTACCGGGTTGTATTGGCCCCGAGGGGGCAGTCAGCTTCCAGGGGGAATCCTGAGCCCTGGAATCCATTCAGGTGGATAGGTTGGGACCAAAGTACTTTGTGGATGAAGGAAAAATCAGTAGGAACCCAGGGCTTTCCAAAGACCTCATCTGAAACACCTGTTTGGCTTTGTAAGCCTTCAAAGGGTTCTCAGGGCCAAAATACAGAGAAGAGCATGCGGCTAATTTCGGGCCTGGGCCTGAGCATGACCATGTCCTGTGGAACTGTGGTTGGACCCGTGTGAAAAGGGGGTCAGGTGCATGAGGCACACCTGCAGTTCTCACCAGCAAGAAGCCACAAGAGCCAGGAGGGTCGCCTTCCTTTCTCCCAGTTTTCTATTTGCAAAATTTGTCGGAGGTATTACCAGAGTCCTCTGTGTGTCACCTCAAACCCTTCTTATTAGAAATCACCTAGTGAGCAGGGCTGCCTCCTTGAGTCCCTAAAAGAAACTTCTCAAATGAGGCTTTAGTAGATGCAAATGTCCTCCGGCCTCTTCCAAACCTGGCACTATCCAAGTGTCCTCAGGCCTCACTACTTGGTGTAGATAGATGAATGGGGTGACAATGTATGTGGCAGCAATCATCAGCACCTCGCTGGCTTGAATATCCCACTTGCTCACATCAGACGCCCACCCCCACCAGCCTCCTTGGACGAATCCAAAAGTGACTCGCTTGGGCTCCCCAACCAGGTTGCAACTCCAGTCGCCATGGAGTGTCCGGCATACTCTTCTTCATCTGCATTAGCTACTTCCTCCCCAACACCATCACTGTCCTCTGTCCACGAAGTGGCAAGAGGAAGCCTCACACTGTGGCTGTCACTGGCACCCATCATAAGAGGTAGACATTAGGGCCATGGGAGTTTTCTCCCAGCCATGGGCCTGAAGGCTGAACCACTTGGGACACTCCAGACCTATCCAGCTCCTGGTAGGCTTGGCAAGGGTCACAGCCACCCTGCAAACCCCCAGCACATCCCTGAGGGCCAGTCAATTCATTGGGTATGTTTGTCAAGACTGGGCAGGGAGAGGACACAGAACAATAGACTCTGTATTTTCTGACCCTGTAAAGAAATGGAGTGATCTGGTTAACCAGGAATTTTGATGAACATAATTACAACGCAGTCCCTGCAGCAAGGATACAGGAAGTTCACCCATCAACCCTCACAGGGAAACTTGCCAAGCTGGAAATATGGAGTCTCCGGGGGGACAAGGATTGATGAAAAGATTTGCAAATGATCCTGCAAACTGCAAGGATGAGTTGGACGGCCCCTCCTGGGTCAGAAGTCATGTCACAGCCTTGCAGCATCTGAGAATCAAGCTGTCGGCAGAGGGTAGGAAAGAAATGCCTTCCACGTGGGCCTTGCAGAACCCCTATTCCTGCATGACCCTTCCTCCTCTGACTCTGGAGAATGAGATTTTTATGGTCGTTGCACCTGCTGTACGAATGTAAGACAGAAGGGCCAGTTAATAGGGTTCCAGAGGAGACAATGCAAGAAATGAGGAAAACTCTGAATGTGAGCATGTTTCTTGCATCTGAGATGGCCCGTCCTTTTCGTTGGTGGCATCTCCCCAGCGGCGCCATACGGCATGATGGGGATCTGAGAGACGCCCACTCTTCAGCATGTTTTGGAAGAATCTCGGCATTGACGAACCAGCATAATTGTGCCACCAAATATCAGAGTCACTCTTTTGGCCTCTGATAGACGGGTTTGGAGCAGGTGCCTAAAGGCCTTATGACTGTGTTTTAGAACCACAGGATCTGGGGTGGAGGACCTGGAGTGTCATCCCACAAGCACCCCTGAAATACAGAGAACAGCTCCAGAAATAACAAGGGAAGCAGGGACTGCTTCCCCGCCTTGAAGCCTGGAGGGGTTGGGGAACCTCAGAAAAAAAAAAAAAAAAAAACCCTACATTTTGTTCCATTTCAAGGTCTCTCTGGTCCTGATGTTTCAGCACAATTAAAAATGTAATTATTAAATGACAAGGTAGACTCCTCCCAATAGCCGGTTCCAGCTTCTGGATTCCAAGCCAGAAAACCTGAATGACTGTGCTCGCTGGCTTTTGATTAACAGAGACATTTTATTCAAACTCTCCATTTCCTGATGAACTGTTGAGGAATGTTGCTTCTTTCCTCCTCCCCCTTCCCTAGCAGAATAAAAATAGTGTGGGCCATTCTGATATCCTAGCCCCAACTCAGGATGACAAAAGCATTAGGAGACAGCACAAAGGCCTAGGCATAAAGAGGTGCTGTGTTCCCAGACAGCAAGCTGTGATGTGTGCAATTATCTTAGCCTCTCTGGGCCTCTGTTTCCTCATCTGTGAAATGGGGGGATTGCTAGCCTTGAGGTCCTATAACCCATGCATGGGACGGCTTTTGTAACACAGCCTAAAACCACAAGGAAAATATCAAGGCAGTTAAATGTCCAGCTCAGCTTCCAAAAACAGCAGCCACATAAACAAAAGAGACGACAGAGGCCTGACAAGACACAAATCTTGATGAAATATTGCTTTGCTCGCTGCAAGCTTCCCTCCAAACACTTTTGGGCTCTAAAGAGAAAGAGGTCTCAAACTCTTTTGGTCTAGATACCCTTTCATTTACTCAACCAAATCTGACTTAGAATCGGTGGGAAAGAAAGGCTTGTCTGAGACACCAACAAAGCGAAGTGATATACCAAAAATTGGAAATGAAATGCATGCCCAAATCACGGTATGCGATAGTGCACATGACCTCAGGTCTGTATGGGGAGGCTGAACAGTTGGGGATTCTCTTCCCCTTTGCCACAGGTCCCTGTTACGGCCAATTAATGCTGAAACGTCCCTATTTGTCAAAGGAAGGAGTTGAGCTAGTACTTTTCTCTTCGTCCTAAAGATTAATGATCTTGACATGCATCCTAGGTTTTCTATGCTAGTTGATATCTATAACGATATCACTTGTCCTGACCTAGAAAACACTTTTGAAGGACATTTTGTAGATTGTTGACCTAACAGACTCCCTAGGGAGTTCCTGGAAGGGTGAGGGCCCCTCTAAAGGATTGCTGGTCAACTTCCCTTTGCAGCAGAAAAAGCCTGGGAACAAGAGAGTTTTGCCAAACTTGGTATGGCCCAGAGAGAGAGAGAGACAGAGAGACTATCCTCCCTAGCCTTCCTTTAGTATTAAGCTGCAAAGCCCCCAAATGCCTTATGTCATTGTTTTGGGCACTTTCTAGACTTCTGAGGAAAACCCCAGAACCAAATTTACCAAGCGTCCTATTGCATTCAAAATGGATTTAAGTTCAGAAGCAAGGGAGGGAGTCCAAAGTTGCTAGCTGGATCAGTAACAGGCTCAGTATCTCATGCAAAGCAGCCCGCTCACCAGAAAGGATCTTCAAGCACAAGCGACACAGCTGCTGCCCGCAGATGCACCGGGGGGCAAAAGCTGGCTTCCTCGGGGAATTAGTGCTGTTGTAAAGAAGGCAGACTGAAGCTCATTATGGTATAAGAGTAGGTGCCTCTGACGGCCCGCCTGCACCTGCGATCCAGCTGGCCTGGCTTTGTGGCCACCAGTTGCTGGCTGGAGTGGCCTGCAGGCACTGAAGGAAAATGGAAGCAGCTCATTTCCCCAACACGGAGACTCATTCCACTGACTGCAGTGCCTACGGCCTGTGCTCCAAGTGATTCTAATCAAAGACTTCTGACTCCGAGAGATGGTTCCTGATGAGGTCTGAACCCTGAGCTCTGGAGGGAAATGAAGTCTAATAAGGGCTGGAACCGTTTCCAAGACTCAGTAAGGGGTGCAATTCTCACCAACCCGATTCAACTAACATTTCTGGAGCTGCTGCCGCTGGCACATATAAAGTAGGCAAATGGTGACAGCCAAGGGCCTTGCTATGGAGATGTGAGACCTACCACTGCTCTGTGCCACCGTGCGAAGAACACAGGATGGGAATCGGAGCTGGTAAAGCTGCAGCAGTCTCGCTGGCAGATCTTGAGCAACCTCTTCCATCTCTGCTGGGAGGCCTCAATTGCTTCATCTCTAAAACACGGAAGTTGGACCAGATGGTCTCCAAGGGCTTTCATATATACATATATATAGCCTAATACTTAATAATTCTTTTTTTTTTTTTTAGACAGTCTTGCTGTGTCACCCAGGCTGGAGTGCAGTGGCGTGATCTCGGCTCACTGCAACCTAAGCCTTCCAGGTTCAAGCGATTCTCCTCCCTCAGCCTCCCAATTAGCTGGGATTACAGGCACCTATCACCACGCCTGGCTAATTTTTGTATTTTTAGTAGACACGGGGTTTCACCACGTTGACCAGGCTGGCCTTGAACTCCTGACCTCAGGTGATCTGCCCACCTCGGCCTCCCAAAGTGCTGGGATTACAGGCGTGAGCCACTGCGCCCGGCCCAATAATTCTAAATGTCAGCATTAGTATATATGTTTTAAGGACATGCCATTTTAATAGGAGAAAAAAAGTCACATTCAAGTGTAGACATGGGCATCATGTCTAGGAGGCATCTGACTGTTCCTGAAACGTGGGCTGTGCCCCAAACACCAAGGATCCTGCCTTACTGCACCCAGGATTCTGTGCTTCCACCTCTCACCACACTGAGTTCTGTCCTGATGCGTCCACCTCTTCCCTGTCACTCCTCCGAGCCACGTGAGTGGTCTTAGCTCTATTTGCCTAGCAACTGGATTTCTGCCCTGGAATCCTGGGCTTCTGTCTCTGCATCACCCTGGATGCACCAAAGGCGGGTTCCAGTGGAATTTTTCTGGGCCTGTTAGCAGTTAGCACTTCTGGCTGACTGCTCACATTACACCCCTAACACACAGCCCACTTCAGCTTGGGGGCAGCCCACCAACAGCCTCTGCACCCCACACGCCCTCTTCCCAAGAGCTTGACTTCGGCTCTTCCCAGCTCCTTGCATGCCCTTCAGTGTTCTTCTTCTCTGCTACTCCCTCCACCCCCATGAAGCACCCAACCACGATCCACACACAGGCCTGCCAGAACTCCCTGTGCCCTACAGTCAGACCCAAGGCAGCCACACCTTGGTCAGAACTTGAGTGATTGGTCTGGGTTCCTCACAGCAGCAAATCTCCAAGTGTGGCCCCCGCACGGGCAGCATGAAGTTCTCTGGGATCTGGCTATCAATGCAGAGCCCCAGGTCCTGCCCCAGCACCGGATCTTACATTTTAAAGGTTCCCGGGTAGTTCAGATGCACGTTAACCTTTGAGAAGCACTGCTGTGGACGGTCCTAGGTCAACTAACCCGTTAGAGATGCTCCTGGATAACAAGCACCATCTCCCTTCCCCTGGCACTGTGGGAACAGGAAGCCATGCCAGAATCAGAGATGCTGATGGGCCCAGGGAGGTGGGAGAGCATATCCTGGAGGGAGACCATGTACCAAAACAGGCCAGCCTTTCCATGCAACCTGGACCTCTCACAGCTGTACAGAGCCTCAAGAGAGTGATCACCACTCTCTTGGAGGTCCTCCTTTGCAAAGAAAGAAGATGGATGCGTAACTTCTGGGGGTGGAAAGATTGGTGAAACAAGGCTGTTGTACTGCTAAGTATCAGAAGAGCTTCCATCATCACTGTTGCAGCCTCCACCACCAAGCTGGAAAGATGTCTCAGCCAAGCCTGGAAGCACAGTGCATTACTGGGCAGGTACTTCTGCTAGGGAGCCATGACCCCAGGAGCTCCCACTTACCTTCATAAAGTTTTATAGTCCTCAAATGGCTTTTGCCTTACAATGCCCCAGCTAGAACTGGGCCGTGGGGTAAAAGCCAGATAGGTGGGTAGAATCCAAGTTTCTTACTTGGAAAAAGTTACATGGAGGAAGCAAGGTTTGGACTCCATTAAAATCACATCACCACTCTGCTTCTCCATCACACAGCTCCAACTACGAAACTGCTCCCCAGGTAACTAGGGGAGCCAAGACTTCCTTTCTCTCCAAGACATCCTTCATAAATCTTTCTCCTCCTCCCATCCGCTTTTCCTGATCTCTCACACAATGACCCACGTCTTTTTTTTTTTTCCTCCCTGCTCATGCCTTGGATCTGTGAAAGGTGCCCCCTAGCACACAGGGTCCCCAGACCACCACAGCTCAGCAGTTAGACCCCAAATCTCAGTTTTCAGAGCTGCCTCTTTACCATGGCACAGTCATTTTAGAAACATGCAGAGAAAAGCAAACTGGAGCATACATCTGCAGGCAAGAAAAATCAATTCTTACCATCAGAGAACAGCTAACCTTCTCTGGGGGCTGCTACCTCAGAGGAGAGTCTTGGGTCCTGCCTGAAGCCCTCAGACTCAGCACCAAGACTCCGCCGGCTTCCTCTTCATGGCAGCCTCTCCGGGAAATGGG